>NW_025791809.1:0-226166 GCF_000001405.40 Homo sapiens
TCCTGACCTCGTGATCCACCTACCTCGGCCTCCCAAAGTGTTGGGATTAAAGGCGTGAGCCACCGCACCCGGCCGGAAACAGTATCTCTTAAATAAATTAACAAAAAGCCGGCCGGACTCGGTGGCTCACACCTGCAATCCCAGTACTTTGGGAGGCTTAGGCGGGCAGATCACCTGAGGTCAGGAGTTCGAGATCAGCCTGGCCAACATGGTGAAACCCCATCTCTACTAAAAATACAAAAATTAGCTGGGCATGGTGGCACGCACCTGTAATCCCAGCTACTCGGGACGCTGAGGCACAAGAATTGCTTGAACCTGGGATGCAGAGTTTGCAATGAGCTGAGATCATGCCACTGCACTCCAGCCTGGGAAACAGTGAGACTCAGTCTCAAAAAAAAAAAAAAAAATAAAATAATAATAATAATAATAATAAAGCCAAAGAAGGTGGACTCAGCAGCTGAGTAAACCAGTGCCTGTCTTTGCCTGCCACCTCCACCCCCAGCTCCTCCACCTGCACTGGCAGTGCAGGAGCGCCGTCATTCACTGCTGGCTCCCCTTAGCCGCCTTTATGCCATTGACCCAGGCAGGCCTCCTCCCCTCCTAGAACCAGGGCCTGGAGATGCTGGAGCCTAGCACTAGTGTGTACCCTACAGGTGGGCTGGGCAGGAAGCCAAGCAATCACTGCCCTGAGCTCTTGGTTCTTGCAGGAAACACAGCAGTGGAGAGCAAGACACCAGCACGCTGCCCTCACCACCTCTCCTCACCACGGTGGAGGATGTGAACCAGGTATTCAGGCAGGCTCTGTGGGCACAGACTTGGGCTAGCTTCCACAGCTGCAGTTTTCAGAGGGCCTCAAAGTAATGAGGGATCTTCTTTGTGGTGATTAATTTTGTGTAAATGATTAGCCACCTCAGCTGACTCAGAGCCACAGGAAGCTCTACGGCTGTGCTGTCCAGTGTGATAGCCATTCACCACATGTGGCTATGTAAATTTAAATACAAATAAAAATTCAGGCCGGGTGTGGTGGCTGATGCCTGTAATCCCAGTGCTTTGGGAGGCCAAGGCAGAAGGATGGCTTGAGGCCAGGAGTTCTTGACCAGCCCAGGTAATATAGACACTGTCTCTGCAAAAAAATTAAAAGATCAGCTAGGCATGGTGGCACATGCCTGTAGTCCTAGCTGCCCAGGAGGCTGAGGCAGGAGGATGGCTTGAACCCAGGAATTTGAGATTACAGTAAGCTATGATTGCACCATTGCACTCCAGCCTGGGTGACAGAGCGAGACTGCCTCTAAAATACTTTTTAAAAACAATCAGCCGGGCGCAGTGGCGACGCCTGTAATCCCAGCACTTTGGGAGGCCAAGGCGGGTGGATCACGAACGAGGTCAGGAGATCGAGACTATCCTGGCTAACACGGTGAAATCCCATCTCTACTAAAAATACAAAAATTAGCCAGGCATGGTGGCATGCGCTTGTAATCCGAGCTACTCAGAAGGCTGAGACAGGAGAATCGCTTGAACCCCGGAGGCAGAGGTTGCAGTGAGCCGAGATCGTACCACTGCACTCCAGCCTGGGCGAGAGACAGACTGCATCTCAAAAAAAAAAAAAAAAAGTTCCTTTCCTCAGTTTGCACTAGTCACATGTGGCGAGTGGCTACCATACTAGACCGTATAGGCACAGAACATGGCTATCATTGCAAGAAGTTCTGTTGGACAGGGGTGTGGGAGTGAGTGGGGCTCTCACCCGGCTTCCTAGGAGGGAATAAGGGCCAGGCATCTGGGGAGGTGGGAAATGATGATACATTGCCCGAAATGCCACTAAGAACTCTCTTTTGTTTCTCAGGATAACAAAACCAAAACGTGGCCACCCAAAGCACCCTGGCAGCACCCTTCCCCGCTTCCCAGCACGCTGCCCAGCCCCAGCGCACCACTCTATGCAGTCACCAGCCCTGGCAGCCAGTGGAACGACACCATGCAGATGCTGCAGTCCCCAGTGTGGGCCGCAACCAACGACTGCAGTGCCGCTGCCTTCTCCTATGTGCAGACCCCACCCCAGCCCCCACCCCCACCAGCACACAAGGCAGCACCCAAGGGCTTCAAGGCCTTCCCTGGGAAGGGTGAGCGCAGGCCAGCCTATCTGCCCCAGTACTGACCCCAGGCCAGCCAGCCTGCCTGCCTGCCTGCCTGCCCGCCCAGAGCTGTGGGGATGAGTGTCCCCACCCCAGGGCCACTTAGCTGACACCAGCCCCTCAGAGGACCAGTGCGCCCCATCCCAGGGAGGGTTCCTTGGGGACAAGGGTGGTTGGCAGCTCCAAGCCTTTAAACCTGGCTTCTGAAACGATGGCATCAGAGCCCTGGAGAGCCAGCTGGAGACACAGGCGTCTGGCCTTCAGGGGCTTGCTAGGGAACCTGCATGCCTAGTAAGCGCCACAGGTGACTCTGATGCAGGCGCCACAGCCACACTTGAAGAAACACAGCTCTTGGGTTTTTAGTCCTGCTGTGTGTTGGGAAGACATCAGGCCTGAAAGCTGAGGGCATAACTGACCATTTTTTGGAAACCCTCTCCTCCCTCCTCCACACCTTGAGTGATGACCACACCAATCACTGTATTTTATAGCTTTTTTTTTCATGTAGGTTTTTAGTTAAAACATCTCCTGCCTAAAATGCATTGAATATTTTAAGATAACAGATATACTGGCTGGAGGTTTGTTTAACACTATCTATATTTAAGCTTATACAAAATGGGCAAAATATAGAATATTTGTGATTGGAAGCAGTCACCTGGGGTTTCTGGGGGTGGACAGTTCCTCGCCACCCAGCAGCACCCTGGGACTGCGGCCTTTCCCAGCTTTATTGAAGCAGAATGGTGGAACTTGTGCCGGAGGTACACTGCTGAAGGTGCGTGGCGGTGGACCAGCCAGCTGCTGTCCATGTGCAGAGCAAGGCTGCACCTGCTGCCCTTCGATCCTTCCACACATGGCCAGGACACTGCCACAATCCTCGGGGTGTGGTCAAGGGGCACTCAGAGACACCTGCACTAGAAATTGCATTGACATTGTGAGCTGGCTCAGAAGACAAACCAATTAAGATGTAGATAGAAATTAATTTAAGGTCTTTTCTTAAAAAAAAAATCCACCTCATTTTCAGTTAACATGTGCCATTAAATAGATAACATCCTGTGGATTTAGGGATATTTTCCAGCCAGAATGGATCCAGAAGAATTGAATGGTGCTTAAATTGAGAAATAATAATAAATATATCTATATAGAATAGACATATCCCACTGTATATTAATTGAGGTTACAGAAAGTTCTTTATATAAAACTTATTTAAATTTTTCATATTTCATCTTTGAAAAAGTCTGAGAAAAATCCATAATATTTTCTGGTATGAAAGTTTGACAGTATTAATATTTTTTTTATATTTTCTTAAATCATTAAACCATTTTAATATATGTTAACTACTAATAAATGGTTTATTCTTTCTAACTCCATATAAGCTTTTCCAGCAAAGATTGTAATAACACATTTATGTTCTCGTTTTTCTACAGATATAAGTAAATTTATATATAAAAATACCAAAAAGAGGCTGGGCGTGGTGGCTCACGCCTGTAATCCCAGCACTTTGGGAGGCCGAGGCAGGTGGATCACCTAAGGTCAGGAGTTCGAGACCAGCCTGGCCAATATGGTGAAACCCCATCTCTACTAAAAATACAAAAATTAGCCGGGTGTGGTGGCGTGCGCCTGTAGTCCCAGCTACTCGGGAGGCTGAAGCAGAAGAATCGCTTGAACCCGGGAGGCGGAGGTTACAGTGAGCTGAGATTGTGCCACTGCACTCCAGCCTGGGTGACAGAGTGAGATTCCGTCTCAACAAGAAAAAAAAAAAAGAATATATATATATGTATGTATGTATGTATGTAAACACACACACTAATTTGAGAGGACCCGTAGGGTGTCTGAGCCCAGCCACCTGAGTTTTTAGTACTGTGTTGTCAGGCTCTTCCCAGGCCTCAGGTGTTGTCTTTTGTGCTGTGTGGGGATGCATTGCTGCCTGTATTTATGATCTTTTGCCGTGGTTCTGAGCATTCACCTCACCATGTTTACAAAGAACTGTTTTGTATATAGACATTTTCAGGCACGTGCTTTGCACCAACCCTGCGTGGCTCTTGTCTGTGTTAGCTGTCACGGTGTGCACACTAATCTCTGTTAAAGTTGTCTATGGCTGTTCTACTTGTAAGATAGTTTTCTATTTCCTTCAGTAATGTGTCCACAGTACCCTGTATTTCGAGTTCCATTATACTGAAGTACTCATGTTTTAATAGTGCCTCTCCAAAGGCCTCACCTTGGACAGAGGTCAATCCTTGATGCTCCAGCACAGGTGACGTCACTAATTGTCACTTTCCAGTTTGTTTTTCTCTATTAAGGAAGACATTTTCTAATTGCATCTCCATGGGCTGTGAGACTGTGTGAAGCCGTTTGTGTGGTCTCCATGTAGGTGCTGTGTTCCCGGCACCGCCTTGCTCTGAACACTGGTAATTCCAGGTGCTGCGCTTGGCAGAGGGGTCTCGCCAAAGCGCATGTGTGTGCATGTGTGAACGTGTGTGTCCTTTGCATGGTTGGGCGTGGGTGCCTTGCTAGGGCATCAGCAGGACATTGTGTGTATAGTTACAATGCTTCCAAACTGGAACTCTACATTTTGTATCTTTTAAAGCTCCTATAAGTAAAATAACTATTGGCTTTATTAAAAATATACATTTAATAATACTTTGTATCCTTGTTTAAAATGAACTGCAGAGGACATTATGTCAAAAGCCCTGCCTGACTCATTGCTTTGAAAAGCTGCATACTGAGTTGGTTTTTAGGTCAGCCTGTCCTCTGATTCTAGCAAGGGGAAGACCACTTGGGATATTACGGTGAGCTGAAGTGGATGGGCAGGAGGGAGAACAAGCAGCTACGCCTCCCCTATTGGCTTCCCTAAGGCCCAAGCTGGTTTAGGCCCCTGTGCAGGGGGAGCCAGTGCAGTAGTGAAGGAGACGTCCTCTGCAAGGGTGCAAGCTCTCTGGGTTGGGGTCTACCAACACCCATGTTCCACCAAATGTGGATGCTGTGACTTGCCCAGCCAGCTTGTCCAATGACGAGACCCAAGAATGAGGGCTTGTTTTACCCTCTTCCCAAACCAGGGACCCAATCTATGGCAGAGATACTGTGCCTTACAGGGATAAGAAGGACCTGTCTCTGCCGGCCGCAGTGGCTCACACCTGTAATCCCAGAACTGTAGGTGGCTGAGGCAGGTGGACCACAAGGCCGGGAGATCGAGACCATCCTGGCCAACATGGTGAAACCCCATCTCTACTAAGAATACAAAAATTAGTCGGGCATGGTGGCGTGTGCCTGTAATCCCAGCTACTCAGGAGGCTTAGGCAGAAGAATCGCTTGAACCAGGAAGTCAGAGGTTGCAGTGAGCCGAGATCGCACCACTGCACTCCAGCCTGGCGACAGAACGATGGGGCTGTCTCCAAAAAAAAAAAAAAGCCAGGCACTGTGGCTCACGCCTATAATCCCACCACTTTGAGAGGCTGAGACAGTAGATCATGAGGTCAGGAGTTCAAGACCAGCCTGCCCAACATGGCGAAACCCCATCTCTACTAAAAATACAAAAAATTAGGTGGTATGGTCGCAGGTACCTGTAATCCCAGCTGCTTGGAAGGCTGAGGCAGGAGAACTGCTTGCACCCGGGAGGCAGAGGTTGCAGTGAGCCAAGACTGCTCCACTGCACTCCAGCCTGGGCAACAGAGTGAGACTCTGTCTCAAAAAAGAAAAAGAAAAAAAGAAAAAAACAAAAACAGGACCTGTCTCACTGGATGATGCCATCGTGTTAAGCAGAAGAAAGATAGTATCATGAGACCCACAAATGGAGGGCAGGTCACAGGAGCATTTCAGCTCATTTTCATTTACAGAAAGACAGCACCTCAGTGGAACCTTTTTTGACGACCTGAAGAAAATGGAGTAATGTGGGCATTAATATATAAGCTGCTGGTGTAGGAACCACTCTTCTTTCTGCCAAGGTGCCCTGAAGTTGAGCATGGGGACCAAGTCCCAGAGCCTTCCAAATGCACCTCAGGACAAAGTTGCTCGGTAACGGCCATGTTGCCTGAGAGTGCTCAAGAATACACTGGAAGTTCATATTAAAAAGCTAGCAGGGGCTGGGTGTGCTGGCTCACGCCTGTAATCCCAGCAATTTGGGAGGCTGACCTGGGAGGATTGCTTGAGGCCAGGAGTTCAAGACCAGCCTGGGCAACATAGTGAGACCCCATCTCTTTAAAAAAGCCCATATTTTATTCCAGAGTGTTCCCATTTAACACAAGCACCCAGTTCTCTTGACTAGTTCTGATTCACAGCAGTGCTGGAGGCCAGAGGGCAGAAGTCCCGCAGCTCTGGCTGTGTGCAAATGAGTGGGGAGGGAAGCTGAGCAGATGCTACACCTGAGCTACTACTGCAAGGGCTTCACAGGCCTTGGCCCATCTGAGAAATGGGGGAGGATGCGCAGGCATCTTGAGGTACTTGGGAGGCTTGTGACCTTCCTCTCCCACCTGGGGGCTCCTTGGATAGGGGGCTTCCAGTTTGGAGGCTGAGATGCTGCATGCCAACCATGCGGCTGTGAGGGGATGGCCTTTTGTGCACTGTGTGGCCACTGCTGTGACCTGCCTCCTGTTGTGGAGACAGGAAATAAACCTTCCCAATGATCAGCTTCTCTACTGCCCAAAAGCATGTATGTGGACAGCATGACTGGCTACCTCCCAGCGACAGGTACCCAGGAGTCTGAGGCACCTCCAAGGGTAGACTCTGGAAATAACACATGCACCTAGCCTTACAGCACAGGGGTGAGCTCCTGGGCCCAGGCCTGTGTGTGTCAGTGAGGGGACTGGATGTGGCTTGTACTGGAATATTGACTTGGAGATGTGGGCCTAGGTGAGGGAGAAGGATTGTTTCAGGCGTGTCACATTCATTTCAACATTCACGAATGTCATATAAGGGCTAGGCCCTTGCTAGGAGCCAGGACTGCAAAGATACAGTCCCTGCCTTTAAAACTCAGTATTTTAGGGGAGACAACCCATCTTTCCCATCCTTGATAAGAGAACCACCATCCACCAGCAACCCAGTTGCTCAGGCTGAAATCCCAGAAGATATTCTTCGTTCTTTTATTTCCTCATTCAACTAATCAGCAAGTCCTATAAGTGTATTCCCAAGCACACTCAAATTCCACCATGTTCTGGCCAGGCGCGGTGGCTCACGCCTGTAATCCCAGCACTTTGGGAAGCTGAGGCGGGCGGATCACCCGCGGTCAGGAGTTCGAGACTAGCCTGACCAACATGGTGAAAACCCATCTCTACTAAAAAATACAAAAATTAGCTGGGCATGGTGGCAGGTGCCTATAATCCCAGAGAATCGCTTGAACCTGGGAGGCGGAAGTTGCAGTGAGTTGAGATCTCACCATTGCACTCCACCCTGGGGGACAGAGCAAGACTCCGTCTCAAAAACAAAAAAATTCCACCATGTTCTTACATCTCCACTGCCATCTACCTGGACTTCACCTGGCTCCTGCCTCTCCCCCCACAGCCTCAGGGTTTCCCATGCACCCTCCCCTACTTCCAAGTAGCCTTGCCGTGTGTCCTCCAACTTGCCTGTTGCTCCCAAGGCTGCTTGGGCCTCTCCATCGGTTTTCTGGGGTCAGAGCCCATCTTCCAGCCTGTCTTCGTTTCTCATGATAGCACTCAGCACTCTTCTGGAATTTTGTGTTTGCATTTGTGTCTCACTGGAATGAAGGCCCCATGAGAGCAAGGAGCGAGTCTTGTTCATGGCCACATGTGCAAGGTGCAGGACAGCTCCTGTGACCACCACAGTGCAACTTGAGACAGATGAAAGGACGAGTTGCTGGGGCCAGAACTTACGAATTCTAATACTGAGCAAAAAGACAGAACTAGAGGCCGGGTGCGGTGGCTCACGCCTGTAATCCCAGCACTGTGGGAGGATCACTTGAGCCCAGGAGTTCAAGGCTGCAGTGAGTCGAGATCTTGACACTGCACTCCAGCCTGGGTAATATAGCGAGACTGTCTCTAAAAACGAAAAACAAAAACAACCAGACGAAAACATTCTCGCGTTGGGCTAAAAGAATACTATTAAATACATCATCTGGGCTGTTCCAGGACTGGGAGGGGATTAGCACTACGGTGGAGCTGCGGATAGGCCCAAGCAGGCCTCAAATAAATGTAAAGCTTTTTATTCTCGTGGAAACAGCTATGTACAATGGGGAAAATGTTTTTAAGCATCTAGCAAAGGATTCACGGGGCTCTGGTAATGAAGCCCCGAAACGACAAGACTGGATCGCGCAGGGTAGGGCCAACACCAGGGACAAACCCCCGGCCTCTTGGGGGCGCGGTGAGTAGGTGGCCTCTCCAAGCACCACTCCCGATGTGCGCATGAGCGCAGCCGCCCCTACGCAGCGCGTGCGCACGTGCACTCACCACGTCCATCCCAGACGTGCGGACCCGGGTGTCTGCAAGGTTCAGTCTCCACACCCCAGCGCCCGACCCTGCGCGGGGACATGCGCACAAGCGCGCGTCCTGACCACCCGGACGTGCTGGCCCACACGCACACGCGTGCGCATTACCCCCGCCCCATCCGCGCCTGCGCTCAACCCCGCCTACACCTGCTCCGTGGCCTCCCCGGAGGCGATGAGCCAACCCCGGTAGCTCCAGAGGCGTGGTCCCCTCGCCTTCGCCGGTCAACATGACTCAGCATCCTCGGTGGGCTCGCCTCCTCCCCCGGAACAGCTGTCTAAAATCCATGGGCGTGGAAACGCCACGCCACGCCCCGCTCCCGACTTCTTCAGCTCAGGCCCCAGAACTGACCACCCCACCAGTCCTCTGCCCCAGTCCCTCTGCCTTCACTCCCATGGCCACCTGTGCTCCAGGGCCTGCCTGACCCCTGTCCAGCGGCCCTGAAGTAAGGTCTGTGATGTCTAAATGCCGATACCTCAGTTTCCCCATCTTTAGAACGGGGCTCTTGTTTGGAACTGTGCCCGCCACAGCCTGCAGTAAGTGCTAGCTTCATCAATACTCAGTGGCAGTCAATTGCTTTTCCAGGGCTGCCTTATGCTTGAAATTAAATCTTTGCTATCCAGAGTTAGGACTGTCCCCGGACTTCCTAACTTGCCTCTGCTGTCAGGTGTACCCTCTGGTCCGCTCCTCTCTCAGGGCCACATCATCTTGCTGGGGGCACGTGAAGGTGTCCGGCTCTGCAGCATGTTCTCTTGGAATTTCTGGGCTAGGTTTCCTTTCGATTCTCCTTGGTCAGTCCCTGGCCTGGGAGCATGACCCCTCCCAGCTTCACTACCCCCCAGGATCCTGGGGATTCTGAGCCCTAAGCTCTGCGATCGGCAGGACTTGGCTCAGCATATGGTAGTGATTGTACTGATGGTGATAGACAACAGAATATAAAATGACCTTATGGCCAGGCACAGTGACGCATACCTGTAATCCCAACAGTTTGGGAGGCTGAGGCAGGAAGATCTCTTGAAGCCAGGAATTTGAGACCAGCCTGGGCAACACAGTGCAACTCAGTCTCTACAAATAATAATAATAAGAAAATTAGCCGGGACGGGGTGGTCATGCCTGTAGTTCTAGCTACTCAGGAGACCGAGGTGAGAGAATCGCTTGAGCCCAGAGTTCAAGGCTGCAGTGAGCTATGGTCATGCCACCGCACTCCAGCCTGGGTGACAGAGCGAGACACTGTTTCAACTAATAAGACATAACTGGGATGATGAGGAGTGGAGAAAGGGATTGCCTGCTCCTCCACTTTCCCTCCACCTTTTTCCTAGGACTGAAGAGGAACTGGCAGGAGCACAGGTCTCAGGAAGGAACCAGGCAGCCTGGGTTGATTCTCTAGTTAAGAGCAGAGTGGCTTGTTTCATATTTCTTTCTTTCTATTTTTTTGGAGACAGGGTGTCACTCTGTGACCCAGGCCGGAGTGCAGTGGCATGATCTTGGCTCGCTGCAACCTCTGCCACCCGGGTTCAAGTGATTCTCCTGCCTCAGCCTCCCCAGTAACTGGGATTACAGGTGTCCGCCACCACGCCTGGCTAATTTTTGTAATTTTAGTAGAGACAGGGTTTCACCATGGTGGCCAGACTGGTCTCAAACTCCTGGCTTCAAGTGATCCACCTGCCTCGGCCTCCCAAAGTGTTGGGATTACAGGTGTGAGTCACTGCACCCGGCCTTGTTTCACATTTCTTTCTTTCCTTTTTTTTTGAGACAGAGTCTCGCTCTGTCGCCCAGGCTGGAGTGCAGTGGCATGATTCAGCTCACTGTAAGCTCTGCCTCCTGGGTTCACTCCATTCTCTTGCCTCAGCCTCTCAAGTAGCTGGGATTACAGGTGCCCGCCACCACGTCCAGCTAATTTTTTTGTATTTTTAGTAGAGACGGGGGTTTCACCATGTTGCTCAGGCTGGTCTCGAACTCCTGAACTCGTGATCCACCCACCTCAGCCTCCAAAAGTACTGGGATTACAGGCGTGAGCCACCGTGCCCGGCCTCATTTCACATTTCTTAACCTCTCTGTTAAATGGGGAGGACAACAGGGTATCCTTCATAGGACTGCCATGAGGGATACATGGAAAGGATTTAGCATGGAGCTGTGCACGTAGTAAACCTGGCTGGAGTAGTGGCCGTGTTGGTAGTTTTGTAGTATGATGATGAATGGCTTTGGATTAGTACTTTCTAATCCAAAATGGCTTTGGATTAGACTTTTCTTCTTACTTTTCTGTGCTTTCTCCCTGTAGCCACTGTGATTTATGGCCCACCAGATAGGAACCTAGTTTCCTGCTAACATAGAAAATCCAGGCTGGGCGCGGTGTTGCATGCCTGTAATCCCAGCACTTTGGGAAGCCGAGGTGGGTGGATTACCTTAGGTCAGGAGTTCGAGACTACCCTGGCCAACATGGTGAAACCCCATCTCTACTAAAAATACAAAAATTAGGCCGGGTGCAGTGGCTCACGCCTGTAATCCCAGCACTTTGGGAGGCTGAGGCAGACGGATCACGAGGTCAGGAGATCGAGACCATCCTGGTCAACACAGTGAAACCCCAACTCTACTAAAAATACAAAAATTAGCTGGACGTAGTGTTGCATGCCTGTAATCTCAGCTACTCGGGAGGCTGAAGCAGGAGAATTGCTTGAACCAGGGAGTCGGAGGTTGCAGTGAGCCGAGATGGTGCCACTGCACTCTGGCCTGGTGATAGAGGGAGACTCCATCTCAAAAAAAAAAAAAAAAAAAAAATTAGCCTGGTGAGGTGGCGGGTGCCTGTAACCCCAGCTACTAGGGAGGCTGAGGCAAGAGAATTGCTTGAACCTGGGAGGTGGAGGTTGCAGGGAAGCAGAGGTTGCAGTGAGCCAACATCGTGCCATTGCACTCTAGCCTGGGCAACAAGAGTGAAACTTCATCTCAAAAAAAAAGAAGAAAAAAAGAAAATCCATGTAACTGGAGTTTCAAAGTAAATGTGAAATCTGGAATAGTTGAAGCTTCTGGGAATCACAGAGGCCAAGTTGCAGAGGTGTACATTATGGAAGATTAAAAGGCAGGGGAAACCTTTGAAATGGCAATCATCAGAGGCCTCACCTCCTGCCTCTTTCGCAATACCCAAAGCTGTTTCTAGGGTTCCTGGTGGTCGGGAGAGGACACTGGACAAGACTGTGGCAGTGGAAAGGTGAACACCCGTAACATCTTTGGAAAGACTTGGAGTTGTGAATGACAACTGAACTCCAAACAGACACTAAAGGGAATCGTTGGTTTACATTCTAGCTGCAGGTAGAGGTGGCCTGGCCCCAGGAACCTGGGCACTGTGAGATTCACTCTGACATCTCTGTGGGGATCATTCTCTTCGTTATTTTCCTCAAGACCAGGGGCTAGAGCTCAGGTCTGTCCTTTCTGACAGGCAGCTTAACACCATAAAAAGCAGAGACTTTCTGCTGCTGGCTGCAGGGCCCTGGAAAAGGACCCTGTTTAGCTGGCATAAGTTATGTGCTCATCTCTGATGGATTCAGGCAGGGGTAGAAACACGGGTGGGAGAGGATGGTTTTAGACAAAGAACAACAGCCGTCCATCTGGTCACCAAAATAACCTACTAGAAAAAGGCAGTCTCAGTTTGCAGGTGCAGTGCTGCATGCCTGTAATCCCAGCACTTTGGGAAGCCAAGGCAGGCAGATCACTTGCACCCAAGGATTCGAGACTAGCCTAAGCAACATGATGAAACCTCGTCTGTACAAAAAATAACAAAGCTTGTCTCTACAAGGAAAAAATTAGCTGGGCATGGTGGTGCACACCTGTAGTCCTGGCTACTCAGAAGGGTGAGTTGAAAAGATCGCTTGAGCCTGGGAGGCAGAGGCTGTAGTGAGACAAGATCGTGTCACTGCACTCCAACCTGGGTGTGACAGAGTGAGACCCTGTCTCAAAAAAAAAAAAAGAAGGAGGAGTCAGAGGGAGTCAGTGGTTACTATTGGGCTAGAGTCATCTGAGGAATCACAGGGTAAGTGATAATGGGGCAGTGGCTACTGAGACTCGCCTTCCCATTGGTTGAGGTTTTGTTCTGAAACAGAGGATTTGGGGTGGGAATTCTCTTCTGTGTAGATGAGTAACTGGCTTAGAAAACCCTGATTGGAGTGTTTCTCAGAACCCCCGTAGAGGCCAGGCGCAGTGGCTCATGCCTGTAATCCCAGCACTTTGGGAGGCTGAGGCAGGCGGATAATGAGGTCAAGAGATTGAGACCATCCTGGCCAACATGGTGAAACTCCATCTCTACTAAAAATACAAAAATTAGTTGGGTGTGGTGGCGTGCGCCTGTAGTCCCAGCTACTCAGGAGGCTGAGGCAGGAGAATCGCTTGAACCAGGGAGGTGGAGGTTGCAGTGAGCTGAGATCACGCCACTGCACTCCAGCCTGGTGACAGAGCGAGACTCCATCTCAAACAAACAAACAAACAAAAAAAGAACTCCAGTAGAACAGATACTGTTCAGCACTACCAGGGTTGTGCTAGGTGTGGAAGCTCAGTGAAATCTTAAGAGTTGACAGTTCTTAGAAAAGGGCCATGTGGACAGGGCTGTTCCCTGGAAAGTCCTGTGACCCCTCAGTGACCACTTATTTCTTTTGTTGTCAGCCTTTCCCTATTTTCTTTTCTTTTCTTTTCTTTTTTTTAAGACAAGGTGTTGCTGTGTCACCCAAGCTGGAGTACAGTGGTGGTAATCACGGCAGCCTCTAACTCCTGGACTCAAGTGATCCTCCTGCCTTGGCCTCCCGAGTAGCTGGGACTCTGCAGATATGCACCACCACATGCCCCGCTAATTTATTTTTAGTATTTTAGAAGCAGTGTTTTGCTGTCTTGCCCAGGCTCGGCTTGAACTCCTGGCGTCAAGCTATCCCACCTCCCAAAGTGCTGGGATTATAGGCAGGAGTGCCCAGCCCCAGAGTTCTTACAATGACTTACAAGGTCTTACGTGATCTTGTTGCCTCCCTTTTGCTCTCTGACCTCATCTTTTTTTTTTTTTTTGAGATGGAGTCTCACTCTGCCACCCAGGCTGGAGTACAGTGGCTCACTGCAGTCTTCACCTCCCAGGTTCAAGTGATTATCCTGCCTCAGCCTCCCGAGTTAGCTGGGAATACAGGCACGTGTCACCAGGCCCGGCTAATTTTTGCATTTTTTTTTTCAGTAGAGATGAGGTTTCACCAGGTTGGCCAGTCTGGTCTGGAACTCCTGGCCTCACATGATCCGCCTGCCTCGGCCTCCCAAAGTGATGAGATTACAGGCGTGAGCCACCGCGCCCGGCCTAGTCACTTTTTTCTTAATTGCAACCCCGATTCTCAGCACCCTTTTCATCTTGGTTTTCCTCAATAGCCCTTACCACCAGCAGACACACATCATCTGTTGTACTTGCTTATTTGGCACATATGTATCCACAGCGCCTAGAACACTGCCTGTAACGTGGAAGGTGTTCGATCTATAGAGTTTTGTCGAATGAATGAATGAAGCCGACTAGTGCACAGGGAGTGCAGCGGCGCGATGGTAGCTCTCTGCAGCCTCCAACACCTGGGCTCCAGTGATCCCCGGGCTCTGCCCACCCTCCCCACTGCCACTTCCGGGCAGAGGCCAGCAAAGCGGCGGCGCAAGAGGTAGGGAGAGAGGAGCTGAGGCCCCAGATCAGCGGCCGCGGGCAAGGTCGCTCAGCGGGCACCCGGCCTGGGTATCGGGGCGCGGGTCGGGGGCGGGGCCGGGGCTCAGGGGTGGGGCCGGGCCGGGCCGGGCCGGGCGCCTGCGCCATAAAGGCCGCCGCGCGCCCACGCGCCTCGCTTGCTGCGCGCTGCCGGCGCTCCTTCCTCCTCGGCTCGCGTCTCACTCAGTGTACCTTCTAGTCCCGCCATGGCCGCTCTCACCCGGGACCCCCAGTTCCAGAAGCTGCAGCAATGGTACCGCGAGCACCGCTCCGAGCTGAACCTGCGCCGCCTCTTCGATGCCAACAAGGACCGCTTCAACCACTTCAGGTGCGGGCGGGCCGGAGGCGGGGGCTGCCACGCGCGGCGCCCGGAACCGGGCACGCGGGCCTGGGGTCTGGAGGCGGGGGCAGCGGTGCCCGGGGACCCCAGTCCCCGACCTCCAGGCCACGGACTGGGGCCCAGGCCGAGTCCGCACTTCGTCCTTGGAGTCTCCTTGGAGTGCGTTCCTGGGGGCTTGCAGCCTCGCCGGGAGTCTCGGCCCCGGGTCTGCTTCGTTACGAGGAAAAACGGGCCCCTCCGTGGGGACATTTCCCCTCCTCCTCCCCGTGCAGCTCTGGCCATTTGAGCAGGGGCTCCTTTCGCAGTTGTGAAGAGAGGCCTTGGCTGACGCAGCAAGCGGGAAAGGGCTGTCCCTTTCCATCCGCTCCTGGCCACATGAGCTTGGGAGCGTCTGCAGGGCGGGCAGCCCGGGCGGGGGTGTTTGAGGGAGCTGGGTGGAAGGATGGAGACGTCGGGCGTGATTCCTGCAGAAGACACCTGTGCACGACCGGGAAGTGGGAAGGAGTGTTTGAGCAAATCATGGGCGGGAGTGCGGCCAAGGGAGCTCTGATCACTGATACTGGTGGAGGCGGGGGAGGGGAGCGACTGTGGCTCCGGGCTAGACGTCCCGATGGCCATCCCTGTCATCTGGATGGGTGCCTGAGTAACTTACGGCAGAAAGTGGAAGCCCTGGGAAGGGGTGGTCCCCCACTTCAGTCCGGGCTCCTCATCCAGGGTCTGCCTGCATCTACGGTCTGTGAGGATGGCTTCTTTCTCTGGGCTGCTGTTGCAGATCATCCTGGTGGGCCAGCAGGTGACAGACACCACCACTGTGCTGGGTGGCCGCGGCCCTTGTGGGGCGTGGGTCAGGGAGGATGTTTCTTCTGGGAACAGCTCCTGCTTAGGGCATGGCTCCCCGCTAGGGAGACCAGGGTGTGGTCAGCAGCATCTCCATCTTTCTGCAGCTTGACCCTCAACACCAACCATGGGCATATCCTGGTGGATTACTCCAAGAACCTGGTGACGGAGGACGTGATGCGGATGCTGGTGGACTTGGTAATGTTCTGCTTGGGGAGGCATAACTGGTAACCGACAGAGTGGTGGGTGAGCTGGGCTCCTGGGAGTCCCCAGGACCTTGAGTATCTTGAGTTCTTCCTCTCATTAGACCTCAGTCACCTCCTCTGTGCTGGTGAGGCACCTGTCCCTGGCTTAGGTTCTAAGCAGCATCCCAGGGACCCCAGTGTCTGATGTCTGAGTAGACCCTTCCCAGACAGCAGGGGAGGGAACCAGACAGCAGCCGTCTGTCTGTCTCATTGGGGACAGCACCAAGCCTTGTGTTTGGGGGCTGACACTTGGGGTGGCCAGTGTGGGTGGGACCAGGCCTCAGTATCGTCTCTTCCTAGGCCAAGTCCAGGGGCGTGGAGGCCGCCCGGGAGCGGATGTTCAATGGTGAGAAGATCAACTACACCGAGGTGAGCAGGCCCCACATACCCTCTGGGGCCTCCTTCCTTCCCTTTGGGGTTTATCTGACTGTTAGCCGCATCACCCTGTGTCTTCACCCCTTCTCTTGGGCAATGCTTTTGCTTAATGAGGGGCCTGAAGGCCTTTTTCCTCCTGCTTGTAGCAGGGCTTTGGGGTGTGCCTTCCACAAGATTGGTTTGGTGAGCTCCTTGGAATGGTTCCCAGTGTCTGCCTGGGAGGAGCATATCTCATACCCACAGGGAGAGTTTCTCAAGGCTGACATTTTCTTGGAGAAGTTAACTCTAATATATCCTCAATGCAAGTTTTAGTAGCGACAAGAAGAATCTTAGATCACCAAAGACTTCAGCCTACTCAAGCAGTAGGAGTCAATAGGAAGCAGTGGTGAGGCCAGGCCTGGGGGCCCCTGTTCCTGACTCAGTATGGGAGCCCAGCCTGGAGGTATAATGGACACTGAGCACCCAGACTCTGTCCTCATGATGTCATTATCCTCCTCTTACATGTGAGGAGTCTGAGGTTCAGAGGTCACATCACTTATCTAAGATGTCATAGCTGTAAGAGGCAGAATGGAGATTCACACTCAACCTGTCTTGCATTGTGGGTCTAAGCTGAGAGAGGATGCAATCAAGGAAGGCTTTCTGGAGGAGTGCATTTGCCAATAAAATGTGGCGCAGGAGTGGGGTCTGGCAGGGTGAGGGTGGGGTGGCATGAAGCCCTCCACCTTAGCAAGCCTCTCACTGGGTCGGAATCCCAAGATGATCCTTTTCCTGCCCACCTGGGGTCGTTAGACCTTCCCTCAAGGACTCCTCTGCTGACTTCAGGCCATTTCACTCACGTGGCTGGGCCAGCCGCCTGGCACCCGTCACAGACTTCAAGTCTGGTTTGGTTCCTGGCAGTTGGTAGTTATCGGGCTGCTTGGTGAGGGAAGCTTGAGTTGCATGCCTTGCTGCAAATCCAAGGAGCTGAGGACACTGCCTAAAACGTGCCAGCAAACACCATGGACACACATTGGGAGGATGAGGTTACTTCAGGCTTCATGAGCACTCATCTTCGGAAAGCGTTTATTTATTTATTTATTTTGAGATGGAGTCTTGCTCTGTCGCCCAGGCTGGAGTGCAGTGGTGCGATCTTGGCTCACTGCAACCTCTGTCTAATGGGTTCAGGCGATTCTCTGCCTCAGATTCCTGAGTAGCTGGAACTACAGGTGTGTGCCACCCCCACCTGGCTGATTTTTGTATTTTTAGTAGAGACAGGATGTCACCATGTTGGCCAGGCTGGTCTCGAATTCATGACCTCAAGTTATCCACCTGCCATGGCCTCCCAGAGTTCCGGGATTACAGGCGTGAGCCATGGCGCCCGGCCTCTGAAAGCATTTATTGCTTGTTTCTGACATGTATTGTTGCCATTCTCTGCCTTTGCTCACTGTTCCTCTTTTCTCTCACTGTTCATGCCCTGAGCATCTCTGGCAGGCCTTCGGGGCCTGTCCTAGGCATATATGGGTCCCCTCCTCTCCTCCTGACTGTCTGCAGCACATAAGTCCTTGGGGAGCTCCTACTCCTCTAAGCATACAGTGGGTTCTTGGAACAAGGTTATGGTGCTAACAGAGACCTCAGGGCCTGCCTGTCTAGTGGATAGAGGGCCGAGCTATGGCACCATGCCCAGCTGGGAGCATGGCTGCCTGGGGTTGGGGGGGACAGTCTTTATATCCTGACCGTAATCCCCAGGGTCGAGCCGTGCTGCACGTGGCTCTGCGGAACCGGTCAAACACACCCATCCTGGTAGACGGCAAGGATGTGATGCCAGAGGTCAACAAGGTTCTGGACAAGATGAAGTCTTTCTGCCAGGTAAGTGGCTACTGGGCCGGACTCACCCTTGGCCGTGTGTGTGAGTTATTTGGGAATCTGGGAGCCCTAAGGGGCAGCTCTTCCCTCTTCTTGTAGGCAGGACTCAGGTTCTCACTGCAGCTTAAGGGAGGGGTTGCCTGTGTGATCGCTGACCCTGGAGTCTCTGCTGAGGCCTGAATTTCTCCTGGCTCTGCTCTGAAGGAATCTGCTGCTGGCAGAAGTGGGGCCAGTTTCTTTCCTGAATTGTAGACACCTATGGACTCATGGTGACAAACCACAGAGGCTTCAAATGAAAAGTGGGGCCCCTGAGAGACAGGACAGTCAGGAAAGGAAGGAGCTTTTTCTTTTTTCTTTTTTTTTTTTTGAGATGGAGTCTCACTCTCTCGCCCAGAGTGGACTGCAGTCGTGCTATCTCAGCTCACTGCAACTTCCGCCTCCTGGATTCAAGCTATTCTCCTACCTCAGCCTCCCGAGTAGCTGGAATTACAATTATGCGCCACCCTGCTCAGCTAATTTTTGTATTTTTAGTAGAGACGGGATTTCACCATGTTGGCCAGGCTGGTCTCAAACCCCTGACCTCAGGTGATCTGCCTGCCTCACCTGGGATTACAGGCATGAGCCACTGCGCCTGGCCGGAAGGAGCTTTTTCTAATCTCTTTTGTCATACGCCCTTATCACCCAGTCTAGAAACAGATAAAACATTGTAAAATTTCCTCAACCCTGGCTGGGCGCGATGGCTCATGCCTGTGATTCCTGAACTTTGAGAGGCCGGGGTGGGTGGATCACTTGAGGTAAGGAGTTCGAGACCAGCCTGGCCATCATGGTGAAACCCCATCTCCACTAAAAATACAAAAATTAGCCAGTTTTGGTGACATACGCCTGCAATCCCAGCTACTTGGGAGACTGAGGCAGGAGAATCGCTTGAACCCGTGCGGCAGAGGTTGCAGTGAGCTGCGATTGCGCCACTGCACTCCAGCCTGGGCGACAGAGGGAGACTCTGTCAAAAAAAAAAAAAAAATTTCCTCATCCCCATTCCCAGCTAACCCTCCAGAAGCAGCCTTTGTAAAGTTTCCTGTAGCCAGGCGCAGCAGCTCATACCTCTATTCCCAGCTATTCAGGAGGCTGAGGTGGGAGGATGGCTTGAGCCTGGGAAGTTGAGGCTGCAGTGAGCCATGGTGACACCACTGCACTGCAGCCTGGGCGACAGCAAGATCGTGTCTCTAAATAAATTTAAAAAATAGAAAAGTTTTCCTGTGAAGTCTTCCAGAAAGTTCCTGTGCACATACACATCTGTCATCTCCTCTTTGAAACACGTACACATGTGCACATGCACACAGGTTGGTTTTCTCCCTGCTCCTCTGAAGCTTATTTCCACCTGGAAGTATGTAAGCAGTGTCCGTGTGTCAGTGACAGTGCATGTAACATGCCTTCTTTTCCTTGTGTGTAGGGTGGTAGGGGTTGCCTCAGAGACCAGCTAAGTTTCCCCACATCAAGCACTTGCCTCAGTGTCTACCCTAGCGGTGATTCTGCAGGGGTGGGTTGGCAGACATCCTCACGTCTGGAGAACGAGGGTGATGCCGGTGTGCCTGTGTGGGCTGTGCATGCTACGAGGGTGATCGTCCAAACTCTTGTCAGCTGTGATCATTTGCTGCTTGTCCTAGGAGCAGTGGCCTCCATGTGTGGCTGGTCAGAGTCCAGTTACTTTGGCCAAGAGCCACTTTCAGACCTGAAAATGGGCTGGGTGCAGTGGCTCACGCCTGTAATCCCAGCACTCTGGGAGGCTGAGGCAGGTGGATCATGTGAGGTCGGGAGTTTGAGATCAGCCTGATCAACATGGTGAAACGCCGTCTGTACTAAAAATACAAAAAAATTACCTGGGCGGGCATGGTGGCGAGCACCTGTAATATCAGCTACTGGGGAGGCTGAGGCAGGAGAATCTCTTGAACCCGGGAGGCAGAGGTTGCAGTGAGCCAAGATCACGCTACTGCACTCCAGCCTGGGTGACAGAGTGAGGCTCTGTCTCAAAAAAAAAAAACCAACAAAAAAACCAACCCATCTCTGGAAAAAATAAATAAATCAGCTAGGTGTGGTGGTGTATCCCAGCTACTTGGGAGGCTGGGGTGGGAGGATTGCTTGAGCCCGGGAGGTTGAGTCTGTACTGAGCTGAGATTGTGCCACTGTCCTCCAGCTCAGGTGACAGAGTGAGACGCCTCCAGGGCAAGGAAGTTGTGGGGTCCTGATGGGAATCTGGATTTCCTGAATGTCACTTAGGGTGATCAGTCCATGTGATGGTCTTTGGGTGTGTGGCGGGGCCTTTCCAGCCATCTGCTGTGAGTGGCAGAGCTGAAGTGCATTAAAAGCCTAGTGCTGTGTGATCAGTCTGGGTGTGCTCAGCCATGCCACATGGCGAGGATGGCACTGCACCGTCTGGGGTGCTGTTTCCAGGAAAGCCTTCCCTTAAAGCTGGCCACTGGAGTACCTGACTCAGGCTGATAAGGTATTTATAGTTCAAAAAAAGTTGCTGAATGGCAGTAATCCCCTGGTGAGGAACATTCCCCATGGCTGTGCTCTCCAAAGTTTGCCAAGATTGGGTGAAGACGTTCACTGTGACCTTGATTGTAGTGGCAAAACCTGAAACCAAGCTGTACTCATTTGTCAGGGGACTTACAAAGTAGAGTCAGCACATATTCATATACTGTCATCCTGGGCACCAATAGGGATTAGGGAGCTATAGTTGGATTGATCTGCCATGCTGTTCAGGATGGACTGGGAAGTTGAAAAAGGAAGTTGCAGAATTGGTGGGTATGGTAAAGACTCATTTGGTCAAATGAAGGCTGGGTGTAATTGTAATAAAGATAGACACATTTGGCTTGGTGCAGTGGCTCACACCTGTAATCCCAGCACCTTGGGAGGCCGAGGTGGGTGGATCACGAGGTCAGGAGTTCAAGACAAGCCTGGCCAACATAATGAAACCCCATCTCTGCTAAAAAAAAATACAAAAAAGTTAGCCTGGCATGGTGGTGCATGCCTGTAGTCCCAGCTACTCGGGAGGCTGAGGCAGGAGAATCACTTGAACCCCAGAGGTGGAGGTTGCAGTGAGCCAAGATCACGCCACTGCACTCCAGCTTGGGCAACAGAGTGAGACTTTGTCTCAAAAAGAAAAAAAAAAAGACACATTTTTCCTCTGGGATGCTTCATTATAACAAACCTTTGACAGTCGGGAAAGGAGACTTGCTTTTTTTTTTTTGAGACAGAGTCTTACTCTGTTGCCCAGGCTGGAGTGCAATGGCGAGTTCTCGGCTCACTGCAACCTCCGCCTCCCAGGTTCAAGCAATTCTCCTGCCTCAGCCTCCTGAGTAGCTGGGATTACAGGCATCCGCCACCACACCCAGCTAATTTTTGTATTTTTAGTAGAGATGAGGTTTCACCATGTTGGTCAGGCTGGTCTCGAACTCCTGACCTCAGGTGATCCACCCACCTTGGCCTCCCAGAGTCCTGGGATTACAGGCATGAGCCACCACACCCAGCCAAGACTTGCTTTTTCTAACCTCTTTTGTCACACGCCTGTGAGGGAGGGTTGAGAAGTTGAACAACTTATTTTATTTCTTTCTGTATTGATGGAAATTTTCCCATGGCAGTTTATTTAAAGAAAAAGTAGGGCCAGGCACAGTTGCTCACATCTGTAATCCCAGCACTTTGGGAGGCAGAGGCAAGAGGATTGCTTGAGGCCAGGAGTATAATACCAGCCTGGGCAACATAACAAGACCCTGCCTTTAACAAAAATTTAAAAATTAGCCAGCTGTGGTGGTGTGTACCTATAGTCCTGGCTGCTTAGGAGGCTGAGGCGGGAGAATTGCTTGAGCCCAGGAATTTGAAGCTGCAGTGAGCTATGATCATACTCCTACATTCCAGGTCGAGCAACAGAGCGAGACCCTGTCGTTAAAACAAAACTAAAAAATACCCAGCAAGGTGCAGTGGCTCTTGTATAATCCCAGCATTTTGGAAGGGTGAATCGGATCACTGCAGGCCAGGAGTTCAAGACTAGCTTGGGCAACCTAGACCCTGTCTCTTTTTTGTTTGTTTGTTTTTTGAGACAGAGTCTCTCTCTTTCACCCAGGCTGGAGTGCAATGGCCTGATCTCGGTTCACTGCAACCTCCGCCTCCCAGGTTCAAGCGATTCTCCTGCCTCAGCCTCCCGAGTAGCTGGGATTACAGGTACCTGCCACCACACCCAGCTAATTTTTGTGTTTTTAGTAGAGATGGAGTTTCACCATGTTGGCTAGGCTGGTCTCGAACTCCTGACTTCATAATCTGACCACCTCAGCCTCCCAAAGTGCTGGGATTATAGGCGTGAGCCACCGTGCCCAGCCTATTTTTTTTTTTTAATTAAAAAATAATTTATAGTCTGGGTGCTGTGGCTCACACCTGTAGTCCTAGCACTTTGGGAGGCCGAGGTGGGCGGATCACTTCAGGTCAGGAGTTTGAGACCAGCCTGGCCTACATGGCAAAACCCGTCTCTACTAAAAATACAAACAAAATTAGCCAGGAGTAGTGGCAGGCGCCCATAATTCCAGCTACTCAGGAGACTGAGGCAGCAGTATCATTTGAACCCATGAGGTGGAGGTTACTGAGAGCTGAGATGGCGCCACTGCACTCCAGCCTGGGTGACAGAGCGAGACTCTGTCTCAAAAAAAAAAAAAAAATTTATAACTGGGCATGGTGGTGCATGCCGGTAGTCCCAGTTACTTGGGAGGCTGAGGCAGGAGAATCGCTTGAACCCGGGAGGTGGAGGTTTCAGTAAGCTGAGATAGCACCACTGCATGCCAGCCTGGGTGACAGAGCAAGATTCCATCTCCAAAAAAAAAAAAAAAAAAATTAAAAGAAAATTGCTGGATCTTATTAGTGTATAGTAATTTTTTATTGATGTGTGGGAAATTATTCCAAAATTTAGCAACTAGAAGCAACAATCACCGTCTCTTTATGTGGGGAATTTGCAGTGGCTGTGTTTGGTGTAGTGGCTCTGATATTCTAAGGTTGCAGTCAAGATGTTGGCTAAGGATGTGGTCATTTGAAGGCTTCATGGGGGTTGGAGGGTCTGCTTTGAAGATGGCTCACTAGCAGTGCTGCCTTTGGGAGGCACAGACAGTTCGAGTGTCCTCATGACAAGGCAGCTTATTTCTCCCAGAGTGAGTGATCCAATAGAGAGTAAGGCAGATGCCTGGAGGTCTTTTGTGACCTAATATCAGGATTCACATTCTTTCTTTTTTTTATTTTTATTTTTTTGAGACAGAGTTTCACTCTTGTCACCCAGGCCAGAGTACAATGGCGTGATCTTGGCTCACTGCAACCTCCGGTCCCCGGCTCAAGCGATTCTCCTGCCTTAGCCTCCTGAGTAGCTGGGATTACAGGTGCCCGCCACCATGCCCGCCTTTTTTTTTTTTTTTTTTTTTTTTAAATTTTTTTAGTAGAGATGGGGTTTCACCATTTTGGCCAGGCTGGTCTTGAACTCCTGATCTCAAGTGATCCGCCTGCCTTGCCCTCCCAAAATGCTGGGATTACAGGGTGAACCACCACGCCCGGCTACACTCTTTGATTTCTATAATACCCCGTTGGTGTTACAGATCAGCTCTGGTCATCATGGGAAGGGACTGCATCAGTGGGTTAATGCCAGGAGACAAGGACCACTGGTCACCATCTTAGAAGGTGGGGGACTATCATAGTCCCGCTTCTGGCGCCTAGTGATTGATTTTGTTCCTTCCACACACAGATACCCCACTCACTTTCTCCTAAGTCCATATTCTGTTACAGTATTAGAAGTCTGTTAGAAGTCTAGAACCTCATTTTGTCAAGTACAGGTGTAGTAGTACCTGCATTTCCTTTAGTACAGTTCCTTTCAATCTGAAGACATGAGAATTTAAAGAGACAAATTACCCCTCACACACCCAACATACAATGGTGAGGTGGGCATGGGATGACTGGTATGTATGGGATAATTATTTCTTTTCTTTTCTTTCTTTTTTCTTTTTTTCTTTGTTTTTTTTTTTTTTGAGGTAGGGTCTCACACTGTCGCCCAGGCTGGAGTGCAGTGGTGCAGTCACTGCTCACTGCAGCCTCGAACTCCTGGGCTCAAGCAATTCCCCACCTCAACCTTCTAAGTTGCTGGGACTACAGGCACATGTCACCATGCCTGGCTACTTTTTTATTTTTTGTAGAGATGACGTCTTGCTATGTTGCCCAGGCTAGTTTTAAACTCTTGGCCTCAAGTGATCCTCCTGCCTCAGTTTCCCAGTAAGTGCTGGGATTATAGGCATGAGCCACTGAGTCCGGCCTGCATATTTAGGTTTTTATTATGACCACACTGTACTTCTGATACCAAAATCTGTATTAGTTATCTATCATTGTATAACAAATGACATCAAAACTTGGGTTAAAACAGCAATACACTTTTTTTTTTTTTTTTTAAGACGGAGTCTTGCTCTGTCGCCCAGGCTAGAGTGCAATGGCGTGATCTCCACTCACTGCAACCTCTGCCTCCTGGATTTAAGCAATTCTCCTGCCTCAGCCTCCCGAGTAGCTGAGATTACAGGCACACGCCACCATGCCTGGATAATTTTTGTATTTTTTTTTTTTAGCAGAGACGGGGTTTCACCATGTTGACTAGGCTGGTCTCGAACTCCTGACCTTGTGATCTGCCTGCCTTGGTCTCCCAAAGTGCCAGGATTACAGGTGTGAGCCACCATGCCCGGCCTAGCAGTAAACTTTTATTACCTCTCACAGTGTCTGTGGGTCAGAAGTTTGGGAGCGGCTTAGCTGGTTGGTCTTGGTTTGGGGATCTCTCATAAGGCTGTAGTCAACATGTTGGCCAGCGCCCCAGTTATCGGAAGTTTTGATGGGTTTGGAGGACCCCCCTCTAAAGTGTCCCATACACAGGAAGCGAGTTGGCTGTGACTTTTGGAAAAAGGCCTTAGTTCGCTGCCGCGTGGGCTTCTTTATGAAACTGTTTGAATGTCTTCACAACATGATAGACAGCTTCCCCAAAGCGAGTCATCCAAGAGAGCAAAGCAGAAACTGCACGTTCTCTGAACTCACTTCTGAAGTCACATTTCACCCCTTTTTGCAGTCTCTGGATGGGTGCATAGGTCACCCCTCCCAGCACAGGCGGAAGCTATGCAGAGGCATGAATTCCAGGAAGCAAGGATCACTGGTGTCTGATTGGAGACTGGCTGCGGGTCTGATACTCCTTTCCCCAGCATAGCCCAGTCACAGTTTTCAACATTTCACATCTCTTGGTCTCTGGCATAGCAGATTCTGCCGAGTTATCCCTGGTTTTGCAAATTCTGACAGTGTCGCTGTAAGGTAGGGATGTCTCACTGTTGTAACCAGGAAAGAGTCTAGTTGGTGGTGAGTGTGGCAGGGACCAGTGTGGTCTCCAGAGACTCCTATGCCTTGTGTAGTGGCTCACGCCTGTAATCCCAACACTTTGGGAGGTCAAGATGGGAGGATTATTTGAGGCCAGGAGTTAGAGACCAGGCTGGGCAACGTAGCAAGACGCTGTCTCTACAAAAAATAAAATAGGCTTTGCGTGGTGGCTCATGCCTGTAATCCAAGCGCTTTGGGAGGCCGAGGCAGGTGGATCACCTGAGGTCAGGAGTTTGAGACCAGCGTGGCCAACACGGCGAAACCCCATCTCTACTGGAAATACTAAAAATTAGCTGGGCAGGGTGGCAGGTGCCTGTAATCCCAGCTACTTGGGAGGCTGAGGCAGGAGAATTGCTTGAACCCTGGAGCCTGGAGGCGGAGGCTGCAGTGAGCTGAGATCGTGCCGTTGTACTCCAGCCTGGGCGACGGAGTGAGACCCTGTCTCAAAAAAAAAAAAAAAAAGACTAAAGCAGAGCATTTTGTTCTGTTTTTGGAGTCAGGGTCTTCCTCTGTCACCTAGGCTGGAGGTGCAGTGTTGCGATCTTGGCTTGCTGCAGCCTCAACTTCCTGGACTCAAGCAATCCTCCTGTCTCAGCCTTGAGCCACCCTGCCTGGCCCCTAAGGCACAGTTTTAAAAATAAGTAAATAGCGAGGCGCGGTGGCTCACACCTGTAATTCCAGCACTTTGGGAGGCCGAGCTGGGCAGATCACTTGAGGCCAGTAATTCGAGACCAGCCTGGCCAACATGGCAAAACCTCGTCCCTACTAAAAATACAAAAAAATTAGCTAGGCATGCTGGTGGCGCAGGCTTGTAGTCCCAGCTACTCAGGAGACTGAGGCATGAGAATTGTTAGAACCCAGAAAGTGGAGACTCTGTCTCAAAAAAAAAATTAAAAATAAATAGCTGGGTGCGGTGGCTCAAGCCAGTAATCCCAGCACTTTGGGAGGCTGAGGCGGGCAGATCACAGGGTCAGGAGATCGAGACCATCCTGGCTAACACGGTGAAACCCTGTCTCTACTAAAAATACAAAAAACTAGCTGGGTGTGGTGGCGGGCGCCTGTAGTCCCAGCTACTCAGGAGGCTGAGGCAGGAGAATGACGTGAACCTGGGAGGCAGAGATTGCAGGGAGCCGAGATCATGCCACTGCACTCCAGCCTGGGCAACAGAGCAAGGCTTCATCTCAAAAAAAAAAAAAAAAAAAAAAAAAAAAATATATATATATATATATATATATATATATATATATATATATATATGGTAAATTAAAAACAAAAAAATAGAGGCACCTGCGAGGGCCTGAAAGCTGGGACTGAGGTACCAGGACACGGCAGTAATGATGTTTTTGAGCAGCGGATTATGCCTGGGGGTTTGGGCTGATGGCATCTTCGCCCCTGTGCCAGCGTGTCCGGAGCGGTGACTGGAAGGGGTACACAGGCAAGACCATCACGGACGTCATCAACATTGGCATTGGCGGCTCCGACCTGGTGAGGAGAAAACTGCCTTGGGGTAGGGTGGGAGTCTGGGCACTGTTGGTCCCACTCAGGTCTTTACTTTCTCCAGGGATGGGACCTGGCTGTCTCCACTTTTCGTGGGCCCTGAATTCTTATTCTCTGATGCTATGTCTCCCCGCAGGGGCCCCTCATGGTGACTGAAGCCCTTAAGCCATACTCTTCAGGAGGTCCCCGCGTCTGGTATGTCTCCAACATTGATGGAACTCACATTGCCAAAACCCTGGCCCAGCTGAACCCCGAGTCCTCCCTGTTCATCATTGCCTCCAAGGTATGAGTGCCGAAAACTGCCCGGCCCCTGGCCCTGTGTGTGTTGGGGTGGGGAGGGACAGCTGTCTTGCCATCCCCCTGGCCATTGGTCCCTTTTGGTGGGTTCCGAGTGAACCATGGTTTGTGGATCAGGTCAGTACAGCTGCCCTAGACTGTTTCCATGCCTAGCAGCAAATAAGGTTGACTGATGAAATCCTGAACACATCAGTTTGAACCTTTGTGTCCTGACCACACCCGCTCGCCTTGCGGCATCTCTGCTCAGCCTGGGACTGCTCGCCACTTTCTTACAAACCTGTCCTTTATGCCTGCTCCTTTTCTTGTTGTTGTTTTTGAGACAGAGTCTGGCTCTGTCACCCAGGCTGGAGTGTAGTGGCGTGATCTCGGCTCACTGCAATCTCCGTCTCCCAGGTTTCAAGCGATTCTCCTGCCTCAGCCTCCCAAGTAGCTGGGACTAGGCACACACCACCACGCCTGGCTAATTTTATTATTTATTTATTTATTATTATTATTTTTTAGTAGAGATGGGCTTTTGCCATGTTGGCCATGCTGGTCTTGAACTCCTGACCTCAGGTGATGCACCCCCCCTTGGCCTCCCAAAGTGCTGGGATTACAGTCTTGAGCCGCCATGCCCAGCCATGCTTGCTCCTTTCTGATCCCAGAGCCATGCCCTGATAATAGAGGGGTTTTGTTTGTTTTTATTTATGTTCTATTTACTCACATGAATGTACATAAAATATGAAGAATTCCATCTGAATTCTGAGATACCTTCCAGCCTGGGCCGAAGAGAGCCTCAGGTTGACTGCAGCCCCTCAGGGGAGAAGCTGCGGCCTTTGACCTGCAGGCTTAGGGTTGGGGGGTGTGTTTACCGTCCCCCCTCCTCTGGTTTTAAAGAGCTGGAATCTCAGGAGGTTATGTGGCGTCACTGTCACTGACCTGCAAATACTGCTCCATGGGACAGCTGGGCATTGCCTTGGCCTCTACTGCTGAACCCTGGCTCAAGGCCTGCACCCACCCCTAAGCTCGGGCGCCCACTGCTGTTCTCTTTGGTTGCAGACCTTTACTACCCAGGAGACCATCACGAATGCAGAGACGGCGAAGGAGTGGTTTCTCCAGGCGGCCAAGGATGTGAGTGGGCTATAGGGCCTTCCTCGTGGTTAGCCTCTGGGCTGGGAAGAGCAGGGTGGGCCCCTGAGTGACCAAGTCTGGCCGTGTTTCTCCTGAAGTTGGAAGTGAAGGCGGCCTTGCCGGTGCCTGCCTTTGCTAGATGAGATGATTGTTCATCTTGGCTTTGTCAGACCCAGCCTTGCAGATGTGACAGAACCTGCTCTCGCTGGCTGACAGCCCTTGCATGGCCCTTTCTCTGCAGGCCCTTGGCGCTGCAGGAACTCTTGGCCACACCTATTTTATAGGGGAGGGACGTCCCTGAGCCCCGTATGCTTGTAAGATGGGATGAGCAGGCGGCCTGTGACCTGTCTGCTTTCTTGACCTTGACCTCGATGTGGGCCTTCTCCAACAGTCTCAGAATCAAGGACTGGGAATCTCAGTCCCATGCAGGGCCTTGGTTCCTCTAGTGATGGGAAGTGACTACCCTTTGTCTCCCTGGGCTGGCTGTGGTAACTTGGCTCTGTCTCTTGTAGCCTTCTGCAGTGGCGAAGCACTTTGTTGCCCTGTCTACTAACACAGTAAGTGCCCCCGTGGTCCCCTGTACTGCCTTCCTGGGAGTGCCCAGCATGTCCAGGTCATGGCCTCTCAGAGACGCGGTTCGTAGGTCTGGTGGATCTTGGCTTGGCTGATGGTATGGAAGGTTTGGTTGCCTGTGGGCTGCAAGCCTTCCTTGCCTTTTCCGCATTTACCCATTCAACCTCTGCAGCTTTGAGGAGGGAGGCTTGGAGTCAGTGGGATCACGATAACCCCTTCTTCCGTCTCCCAGGCCTGACTGATACACAGAACCCTTCATACACATGACCTTCCTAGGCCTTTGTGCCCAGCATCTCCCCAAATGTGACATGCTAGGTAGGGGTAGAGGATGCATTCCATTTTTCACTTAAGGACATAAAGCCCCAATGAAGGGAGGTGACATTTTGCCCCCTACTTAGTGTGTGTGGTTTTTTTTTTTTTTTTTTTTTTTTTTTTTTTTTAAGACAGTCTCACTCTGTTGCCCAGGCTGGAGTGCAGTGGCGTGATCTTGGCTCACTGCAACCTCTGCCTTCCAGGTTCAAGCGATTCTCCTGCCTTAGCCTCCCGAGTAGCTGGGATTACAGGTGCACGCCACCATGCCCAGCTATTTTCGTATTTTTAGTAGAGACGGGGTTTCACCACGTTGGCCAGGCTGGTCTCTGACTCCTGACCTTAAGTGATCTGCCCACCTCAGCCTCCCAAAGTGCTGGGATTACAGGTGTGTGCCACCATGTCCAGCTTATTTTTTGAGACAAGGTCACTCTGTCACTCAGGCTAGAGTGCAGTGGTGCGATCTTGGCTCACTGCAACCTCTGCCTTCTGGGTTCAAGTAATTTTTATGCCTCAGCCTGCTGATTCTGGGATTACAGGCGCCCACTACCACGTCCAGGTAATTTTTGTATTTTTGGTAGAGACAGGTTTTCTCCATGGTGGCCAGGCTGGTCTCGAATTCTTGACCTCAAGTGATCTGCCCACCTCGGCCTACCAAAGTGTTGGGATTATAGGCATGAGCCACTGTACCCGGCCCACTTAGTGACTGTATGAGTAGGTGATGCCAGGATTAGAACCTGGGTCTCCTGTCTCCAAGTTCTCACAGTCTGCCTGGCCTCGAGGTTGTGCAGGCTCAGCAGGGCATGACAGAGTGAGGGATGCTCCAGGAGTGACAGCAGCAGTCAGCCAGTGGGCACTGTGCTGTGTCAGAGCTGGGGACTACACCCACATCTCCCTCCCACCCCCTCCACCATCATCCCCACATCTCTGCCTCCAGTGCCTACCCAGCTGCAGCAGGACGCCATAAGGCTGGCTAACCATAGCACTGTTGCCTGCCTGCAACTGACTGGTCAGTAGGGCTTCTCCTCCTATGTGGAATAGGTAAGGAGTTGCTGGCCCTGTCTGCCCTGGGGACCAGAATACCTGATGGCTCCTCAGAGCTTCCTGGTGCAGTCACCCTCCCACACATGGGAAGGGCTGGGTGGCTGTTCAGCCTGTGTTTGTTTGCCTGGCCTGGTAGGTGGCCCCTGCCCACACTTGGGTCCCAGTCCTAGGTTCGGTTCCCAGATGTCCAGGGGTATCATGCTCTGGTGTCCCAGGCAGGCCTGGGTGAGAGCTGTTGCAGAGCAGTGTGTGGGCCAGGTCCTCACACGGGGTTACAGCTGCCCTCAGCAGGGGGCTTTGCAGGCACAACGTCACTGGCGTGCTGGTCATGGACTGATCTGGTGTCCAGCTTGGGGTGGGCAGATCCTGGGCCCTGCCCTCGACTCACAGGCTGCTCCAGCCCTGCCCCATCCCTGGCTCTGGGGAAGGTGAGGCTCAGCTCACGGAGCACAGCTCCCTGCCTCCCGGAGCTCCTGTTCCCATCCCGCTAGCAAATGCTTCTTTGCATTTCTCTCCCTTTGTTTTTTTTTTTGTAGACCAAAGTGAAGGAGTTTGGAATTGACCCTCAAAACATGTTCGAGTTCTGGGATGTAAGTACAAGCACTTCTGCACTGGGTGAATTAAGTGTCCTTTGCCAAGTCATGGCTGTTGAGAGGCCCATGAGGTCAGGTCAGTGTTTATTGAGTACCTGCTGCATACCTAGCTTGGGGAAAGGTAGAGAGGCCCTCAGAGAGGCTTGGAGGGCAAGAGCAACCCAGGCAGGATGAGGGCTCCACTTCCACCTGAGGGCGGGCTGAGCTTGCAGGGCCACATGACACTCCCTTGGGTGCCTGCCTGCAACACCCACTGTGGGGTAACCCGAGTCCCCCTTGCCACGCTCACAGAGTTGAGGTTGTGAGTTATTCTCAGTGATGACCTTTCTCTGAACTGCAGCCACCATCTGTAAAGGCCAAGGGCAGGGTGAGGCATGAGGTATGACCGGGTAGGCCTGGAAAGGAGCAACAGGAGCTGCAGGAGGAGCTGGGGGGGTGGCGTAGAGGAGGCGCCAGGCTGGGGCAGCTTGCAGAGCAAACCCTGCCTTGAGTGACAGGGCTGCCGACCCCTCTGTAGCAACAGGTGGTCCATGGGACCACCTCTGCTGGAGCCGAGCAGTGAGCCACAGCTTTCCTTGTGCACTTGCCTGAGCTCAGCAGTGGTGTGAGGAGGGCTCTGACTGTGAAGCCCAGGGTGCAGGGGTGCAGTGCAGGGTGTGATGCAGGCACTGTGAATGCTGTGGGCATGGCCGGGCTTACGTGCAGGGCTCTAACGCTGTGGCAGGCGCAGCAGAGAGGGCATTGCCCATTTGGTGGTTTTCCCACCTGGGGCTGTCTCCAGGCATTTGGACCAGAGGCCCTTTGCTTGGTGATGGCATCCACAGACATAACCTCATTCCTTTGAAAGCTCTAAAGGCCTTTTACTACCAGGGTCTGGGAGAGAATGAAGCCCTAATCCCTTAAGCCATCCACTGTGTATAATGAGTTAACTTCTTTCTAGAATGAGACTAGTTACATACCATCCTTGGAAGAATTGACGAGAATCACTCAAGTCATTTTCTGCATCCTGTGGCTCAGATGCGGAACACTGGTCAAGAGAGACTGTGCGGCTTCTAATAAATGTTGCATGCCTGATAATGGAGGGCAGGCACCTTCCACCTCCTCCTTGGGATCTGGAGCCTGAGCAGGTGGTGGGCAGGGATGTGTGGGTGCTGCTGCCAGCCAAGGAGCCAAGCAGATCGGGGTGTCCTTGCTTGTCACCACCCAGCATGTAGAGATGAGTTAGGGTGTGGCTTAAGGAGAGGATGGGTCTGGCCTCCCAGGTAAGGCCTAGGAATGATAGCTGGACACAGGAACATGGGGCCAGGGCTGGCTGGTGAGACCTAAGTGGAGGCCTCCTGGGCCAGGCTAGACAGCCCACAACGGCTGGAGGAGGGACCTGCCTGAGTTACTAGAGTGTATCCTGCTGAATCAAGAAGGTGATATCTGAAGAACCCAGGGATAGGAGCAGGCGAAGTTCCTGCAGGTGGGGTCTCGGGTGAGCTACAGCCATCAGCTCAGGCCTAGGGATGCAGTGCCGGCCCTCAGGTGAGATCAGAAGAGTCCCGTCTGGTAGGGGTATGTAGAAGAGGTAATTCTTGGTCCGCCAGGGCCAGTTTTGCGGCAGCCATGGGTGTCGGGATCAGGCAGGGGTGTGGTGGGAAACCATGGGGTCTCTCAGGGCTCGGCCAGGGTCAGCGCACGCCACAGGGCCAGTTTTGGCTGGAGAGGCCTGAAGCAGAGCCAGAGCAGGTCCAGGTGAGTTCTGAAGAGGAGCCAGGACAGGAGAGGGACCCATAGGTCTGTGAATTCCAGAGGAGAGGCAGGTATTTAGAGGTGGTTCTGTCAGGTGAAGTCTGAGGAGCCAAAGCTATGTATGTGCATATGTCAGCCGGGCTCTGTGGGAGGTGGTGTAGACCTATGGCATGGGACAGGTGTGCACGCTGGGATCTCTGGCCGGTTCCGAAAAGTGAGGATCAGGTAGTGGGTGGCTGATTGCACAAGTTTAGAACCCAGGATTAGGGACACACAGGTCAGCACCTGCTTCTCAGCATCCTGACTGGGTGTGATGGGCAGAGCTCAGGGCGTCAGAGGCCTCTGAGAATTTGTGACTGAAGTCCAAGTCTGTGGCATCAGGGTCTGCAGAGCCCAGATGCGGGAGAGGTAGGAATGTACCTGGTGATATGAGGCAAGGACAGGGGAGCTGGGGCAGGTGAGGCAGGCAGGTGGCATGAGGAGCTGTGCTGGGTGGGTGCGGTCTGAGTGGCTCAGGTTGGGTAAAGGGCCAGAGACCTGGGTCTACAGGGCAGACATCAAGGCTGAGCCAGTCAGACAGTGTTTGTCAACACTGGGCTCTCACCAGGCTCCCTCAGGCCGAGGTGAGCAGCCAGGGATCTGTCATGTGTGAGGAAAGTGTCTGTTCAGGTTAGGTGTGTATAATGCAGCCTTTCAGAGCCGCGTCTGTCTGAGGTCCTAGGAGCTGGAATCAGACAGGTTTGTATGGCTGGGTTTCTAGGGGAGGCCTGAGGAGCCAAGACTGTACTCAGGTAGGCAGAACTGGACCAGTCTGGTAAGGACGTTGGAGCTAAAGATAGGCAGACAGGTCGAGCTGGGTCTGACAAGTGAGGGCTGAAAATCTGTGATTGGGTCCAGGTTGGAGCTGTGTCCTTGGGCGATGTCTGAGCAGCTCTGGTGGGTGAGCCTGGGTCCCCTGGGAAGAGACCAGACAAAGGGATGGGGTCAGACAAAGGGATGACGAACCGCATCCATCAGAAAGGTGGATGAAGCCTGGGTCTGGTCGAGGTACGTAGAGCAGATCTAGCAGGCGAGGTTTCAGGGGTTAAGGTGAGACACAGGTATGTATTTTTGGGTCTCACAGGTTAAGGTCTGAGCCACTGAGGTCAGGCTCTGGTTTGTATCCCAAGACCGAGAAGCTGTGTTAAGCATGGTGGGTAGAGTTTGTCAGGTGACATCTATGAAACCAGGAGCATGCAAAGATAGGTTGACCGGAACAGCCATGGTCAAACCAATTAAACTGTCCTGCAGTTGAGGTCAGGCACAGGTAGAACGGATCTATCAGGTGAGGCCCAAGGAGTCCGGATTAGGCTCATCTAGAAAGACCTGGATGTGGTAGATGACCTCTGAGGATATGAAGTGAAGGCAGGTGGATAGAGCCAGGTCTCTCAGGAGGTCTGAGGAGCTGGGATCTGGCACAGTGAGCAGGTCTGGATTTCCCAGGTGGTGTCAAGACAGATGGGTAGGCCAGGCACAGTGGCTCACACCTATAATCCCAGCACTTTGGAAGGCCAAGGCAGGCAGATCAGTTGAAGTCAAGAGCTCGAGACCAGCCTGGCCAGCATAGCGAAACCCCGTCTCTACTAAAACTACAAAAATTAGCCAGGCATGGTGGTGCATGCCTACAGTCCTAGCTACTTGGGAGGCTGAGGCACCAGAATTGCTTGAACTGGGGAGGCAGAGTGAGCCAAGATCGTGCTACTGCACTCCAGCCTGGGTGACAGTGAGACTATCTCCAAAAAAAAAAAAAAAAAAAAGCGGGGGTTGGGTGTGGTGGCTCATGCCTGTAATCCCAGCACTTTGGGAGGCCAAGGTGGGTGGATCATCTGAGGTCAGGAGTTCAAGACCAGCCTGGCCAACATGGTGACGGGGTGAAACCCCATTTCTACTAAAAAATACAAAAATTAGCTGGGTGTGGTGGCACACGCCTGTAATCCCAGCTACTCAGGAGGCTGAGGCAGGAGAATTGCTTGAACCCGGGAGGTGGGGTTTGCAGTGAGCCGAGATCATGCCACTGCACTTCAACTTGGGCAACAAGAGTGAAACTTTGTCTCAAACAAAAAACAAAAAAAAAAAAAAAAGAAAAAAGATGGGTGGGTAGAAGTTCTTCTCCTGGGTGAGGTTGAGGAGCTGTGGCCAGGTACAGGTATGTAGGTATGTGGAATTGAGTTTCTTGGGTGAGGTCTTTGGAGCCTGGCCCAGGTACATCTTCGGGTCTATCAGGTCTGAAGAACGGGAGTTAAACACAGGTGTGTAGAACAGGGTTTGGCAGGTAAGGTCTTTGGAGCCAGGATCAGGGCAGCTTCACAAAGCTGAGTGTGTTCATGAGACCTAAAAAGTCATAGTCAAGCCCAGGTAAGAAGAACCAAGTGTGTTGGATGAGGTGTAAGCAGCTGAGGTGTGAAGTAGAGGTAGGCAGAGCTGGCCCACAAGGTACAAGCTCAGGAACCCTCATCACATGCAGGTAGGGGGTGCTGGTCCACCAGGCACAAGCCCAGGAGCCAGCATTGAGCACAGGTAGGCAGACTTGGCCCACCAAGTATGATCTGAAGAGCCAACATCAGGCTCAGGTAGGTAGATCTGGCATGCCAGGTGTACTCCAAAGAGCCAGAGTCAAACACAGGTAGGTAGAGATAGTCTTTCAGGTGTGGTTTAAGGAGCCAAGGTCAACTACAGGTAGGTAGAGCTGGCCCACTGGGTGTGGTTTGAGGAGCCAGGGTAAGCACAGGTAGGCAAAGCTGGCCCACCAGGTATGGTCTGAGGAGCCAGGGTCAGACTCAGGTAGGTAGAGCTGCCTGCCAGGTATGGTCTGAAGAGCCAGGATCAAGTACAGGTAGGTAGTCTGGGTCACTAGGTGTGGTCTGAGAACCCAGCGAAAAGCTCAGGTAGGTAGAGATAGCCTTTCAGGTGTGGTCTGAGAACCCAGGGTCAAGCACAGGTATGTAGAGATAGCCTTTCAGGTGTGGTCTGAGAACCCAGGTTCAAGCACAGGTAGGTAGAGATAGCCTTTCACGTGTGGTCTGAGAACCCAGGTTCAAGCACAGGTAGGTAGAGATAGCCTTTCAGGTGTGGTCTGAGAACCCAGGGTCAAGCACAGGTAGGCAGAGCTGGCCCACCATGTGTGGTCTGAGGAGCCAGGGTCAGGCAGGTAGACAAAACTGGTCTGCCAGGAGTAGTCTCTTGAAGGAGAGCTGAGGAGTTAGGTTGAATGCAGGTAGATAGAGTTGGCTCTTTCAGGAGTTGGATTCAGGCACAGGAATGTGCCCCTGGGTGTTTGAGGTGAAGCCTGAAGAACCAGAGTTGAGCCTAGGTGTATAGAGCGGCCTCCCAGGTCAACCCCATAGCATGGGGGTCTCTACAGGCAGGCAGAACATTGTGGGTTTCCTAGGAGGTCTGTGGCCCCTAAGTTAGACGTGGGTAGGTAGATGTATCTCTCTCAAGCAAGGACTTTGTAGCTAGAGAGACATACAGCTGGGGTCTTGCAGGTGAGGTCATTGGTGCGTGGTTCTGGCTTAGTTGTGCTGACTCAGTCTTAGGCCTGGGGACAGTGGGTTAGTCACAAGTTGGTAGAACTACGCATCTCAGCTGGGGAGCACAGGTAGGCAGAGATGTTCCATTTGATGAGGTCTGAGGCTCCTCAGTGAGCTCATTGGTGCTGACGTTAAGCAGAGATTGGCAGCATTGGATCTGTCTGTGAGACATGAAAAGCCAAGCCAGACACAGGATGTGGACTGCCGAGGCCAGGCTCACATAAATAAAGCTGGACCCTGGGAGGCTGTAAGGAATCTGAGTTGGGCTTAGGCAAGGGAACCGGGTCTGTCAGTCAAGGTGTGAGGGGTCAGGTTATGTGAAGCCTGGTCTATCAGCTGAGATGTCTGGAACCCATCTTTGACAGGTATATAACTCTGTAGCCTGAGGCACTGGAGTTGGACACAAATAGGCAGAACTAGGTCTCCCAGGTGAAACCATTGCATCGATGCTCAGTGCTGGTATGTTTATCTGGTGTTGTCAGTGAGTCTGCCGATGCAGGCTCAGTGCTGGTATGTTTACCTGATTATGTCAGTGAGTCTGTGGATCCAGGCTCAGTGCTGGTATATTTACTTGGTTGTGTCAGTGAGTCTACGGATCCAGGCTCAATGGTGGTATGTTTACCTGGTGTTGTCGTGAGTCTGTGGATCCAGGCTCAGTGCTGGCATGTTGACCTGGTGTTGTCAGTGAGTCTGTGGATCCAGGGTCAGTGCTGGTATGTTTAGCTGACATTGGCAGTGAGTCCATGGATCCAGGCTCAGTGCTGGTATGTTGACCTGGTGTTGTCAGTGAGTCTGTGGATCCAGGCTCAGTGCTGGTATGTTGACCTAGCACTGGCACTGAGTCTGTGGATTCAGGCTCAGTGCTGGTATGTTGACCTGACATTAGCAGTGAGTCTGTGGATCCAGGCTCAGTTCCACAGAGGTTGTATAAACATGGTCTCAGGTGGGTTCTTGACACCTGGGTTCAAGCACAAAAGTACTGCTGGGCTTGTTAGGTGAAGTGGGTGGGGTCTAGCACAGGAATGCATAATGGTGAGGCTGGCCAGGCCTGGGGAAGGTGGGTCAGACACAGGTGAGACCTTCGGTGGTAGGGTCAGACACAATTAGGTGAGTAGTGTGGGCTCTTATATCAAGGGAAAGCCGTAGTCATTGTAGGTGTTTGTACCTGGGTCTGCCTGGTGATGTCTAGGGAACCCTAAAGATCAGCTGGGACAGGTATCTGTTCTCAGCACCCTGGTCAGGTATGATAGACAGAGCTCAGGGTAATACAGAGGGCTGAGGATCTGTAACCAGTCCATGGTGTTGGTCTGCATCCAAGATGGCATTGTGCTCCAGTTGACACAGGGTCTGAGTTAAAAGTGAGGAAAGTTGCCAGGCGCAGTGGCTCACGCCTGTCATCCCAGCACTTTGGGAGGCCGAGGTGGGTGGATCACTTGAGGTCAGGAGTTTGAGACCAGTCTGGTCAACACGGTGAAACCCCATCTCCTAAAAATACAAAAATTAGCCATGCATGGTGGCACATGTCTGTAATCCCAGTTACTCAGGAGGCTGAGGCAGGAGAATTGCTTGAACCTGGCAGGCAGAGGTTGCAGTGAGCTGAGATCATGCCACTACACTCAGGCCTGGGCGACAGAGTGAGAGACCCTGTCTCAAAAAAAAAAGAAAGTGAGTAAAGTGAGGAAAAAGGTAGATGATGGTTAGATAAGGTGAGATCTGGGGCACTGGGGCAGGTTAGGCCCAGGACATTGAACTGACTGAGGAGCTGCATCTATAATGTATGGTCTCAGAGGCCACTGCACTTAAAGGTGAGGTCTAGAGACCCATGTCTGCAGATTGAGGGTTCGGAGGCTCAGGTCAGACACTGCTTGGCATTGCTGGGCTGTCACAAAACTGGGATCTGAGGACCTGTTCTCGGCCAAGGTGAGCAGCCTGGACTCTGTCAGCCAGAGGGCTGGCTGTGTGCTGAAGTTTAGTTTCTAGAGCTGAGTCTGGGCTGGGTGTGGTGGCTCATGGCTGTAATCCCTGAGCTTCGGGAGGCTGAGATGGGAGGCTGAGGCCAGGTGTTCAAAACCTGCCTGGACAACAGAGCAAGACCCCATCTCTACAAAAAATTTAAAAAATAGTCAAGCATGGTGGTGTGTGCCTGTAGTCCCAGCTACTGGGGAGGCTGAGATGGGAGGATCACTTGAGCCCAGGAGTTTGAGGCTGCGGTGAGCTGTGATCATGCCACTGCACTCCACCTGGGCAACAGAGCAAGACCCTGTCTCTTAAAAAAAAAAGAAAAAAATAGAACTGCATCTGTTAGATGAGATGTGAGAGCCTATGTCAAGCATGATGTAGTCTGTAGGACTGCGTCTGTCAGGTAAGGTTCCCGGAAACCCAGAGCCTTTCCAAGTGAGTGGCCCCACCGGTCATCTCATTGCCCAAGCCAGAAACCTCTCGGCCACACTGGAGAGCTCCCAGAATGAGTCCTCTGCACTCCCCAGTCCATCTCCGGGGCTTCAAAGTGGCTTGTTTGCTTCTGTCCTTGTCTTAGCCGCAGACTGTTCTCAGTCCTCCCACCGTGCCTCTCAGCTTCCACCCTGCGGTCCCCACCCCTTCCTTTATCCTCTGGAAGGTGCTATGCTTCCCCCTGCCTCAGTGGGCTTCCAGGAGAGAATTAAGCCCTCACAGCCCAAGGCATCTACTGGATGTAATAAGTGGGCACCTCTCCTTCGTGTCTAGAAGGTTACTAGTCTTGGACCATCCTTGGGAGAACTGAGAAGTCACTCAGATCATTTTCTGTGGGCCTTAATTCTGTCACGCTTGAGAAAGACTGCTTTGGCCACGGGACCTTTGCATGTGCTGTTATGGCTGCTGGAATGCTCCCTCAGTGCTTCTCTGGGTCATGCCTGCTCGTTCTTGAGATCAAGGGTCAAGTACCCCTCAGGTTCCTTTTATAAGTGGCCTCAGCACCATGTTCCAATTTCTCCTCAGCACTTGTTTCTCAGTTTCACATTTATTGGCATGATTATTTGATGTACGTCTCTCTCCCACACTCTGTGTCCGTTGCCTGTGCTAGAAATGTGGGAGGTGCTCCATAAACAGCTGTTAGGAAGACATCCGTGAAGTTCTGAGGACTCTGATGGCACCAAGTGGAGCTTGCAGGTGTGGCTTGAGAAGGTGCAGTGTGAATGATAGGCCTAGGTGATAGGCCGAGAAGATCGGTCAAGCCCAGATATGACCCACTGGGCCTGTCAGTGTCCAGGAGGTGGGGTGAGGCACAGGTCTAAGGTTCTGGATCTGTCAGTACCACCTGAGGAGTTGGGAATGGGCACAGGTACAAAGTGATGAGTCTTCATTGTTCAACAAAGAATGGCACAGGTGTGAGGATCTGGGTTTGTCAGTATCTGAGGATGTGGGGCCTGGCACAAGTATGAGGCACTGGGCCACTGTTCAAGCAGGTGGGCTGGGGAACAGAAATGTAGCTGTGGGTTTTTAATATCTGAGGAGACCTAGCCAAGTGTAGCAGAGAGCTGCTGGGTCTTTCATTGTCCAAGGAAGCATACCTGGGCACAAGTATGAGACTGAGAAGGTGGGTCCTGGCACCGGTAAGGGGCTCTGGGTCTGCAAGTGTCTATGGAAGTAGGGCCTGGTACAGGTATGTGGTGCTGGAAGAGGTATCCAAGGAGGTGGGCTAAGTACAGGTATGACATCTGGGTCTTCCAGTGTGTGAGGAGGTAGGATCTGGTACAAGTATGAGGCCCTGGGTCTGCTGGTGTCTGAGGAGATAACAGCAGGTTACAGGTATGAGGCCCTGGGTCTGCTGGTGTCTGAGGAGGTAACATCTAGTACAGGTATGAAATCTGGGTCTTCCTGTGTCTGAGAAGGTAGCACCTGGCACAGGTATGAGGATCTGGGTCTTCCCAATGTTTGAGGAGGTAGCATCTGGCACAGGTATGAGGATATGGGTCTTCCATATCTGAGGAGGTAGCACCTGGCACAGGTATGAGAATCTGGGTCTTCCAGTGTCTGAGGAGGTAGCACCTGGCACAGGTATGAGTATCTGGGTCTTCCCGTGTCTGAGGAGGTAGCACCTGGCACAGGTATGAGGATCTGGGTCTTCCTGTGTCTGAGGAGGTAGCACCTGGCACAGGTATGAGGATCTGGGTCTTCCCGTGTCTGAGTAGGTAGCACCTGGCACAGGTATGAGGATATGGGTCTTCCATGTCTGAGGAGGTAGCACCTGGCACAGATATGAGGATCTGCGTCTTCCAGTGTTTGAGGAGGTGAGTTTGGACTCAGGTTTGAGGCCCTTGGGCTTCCAGTGCCTGAGGAGATAGCATCTGGCACAGGTATGAAGCCCTGAGTCTTCTAGTGTCTGGGGAAGTGAGGCTGGGTACAAGTATGAGGATCTGTGTCCATCAGTATCTGAGGAGGTGGGATCGGGTCCTGGTATGAGGATCTGGGTCTGTCCATGTCTAAGGAGGTAGGATCTGGCACAAGTATAAGGATCTGGATCTGTCAATGCCTGAGGAGGTAGGATCTGGTGCAGGTATAAGGATCTGGGTCGGTCAATATCTGAGGAGGTGTGATCTGGCCCTGGTATGATGATCTGTGTCTTCCAGTGTCCTAGGAGGTGGGATCTGGCCCTGGTGTGAGGATCTGGGTCTGTCAATATCTGAAGAGGTAGGAATCCGGTACAGGTATGGGATCTGCATCTGTCAATGTCTGAGGAGGTAGGACCTGGCCCTGGTATGAGGATCTGGGTCTGTCAATGTCTGAGGAGTTAGGAATCGTACAAGTATGAGGATCTGGGTCTTTCCATATCTGAGGAGGTAGGATCTGGGTCTGTCCATGTCTGAGGAGGTAGGATCTGGCATGAATATGACGATCTGGGTCTGTCAATATCTGAAGAGGTAGGAATCTGGTACAGGTATGAAGATCTGCATCTGTCAATGTCTGAGGAGGTAGGACCTGGCCCTGGTATGAGGATCTGGGTCTGTCAATGTCTGAGGAGGTTGGAATTGTACAAGTATGAGGATCTGGGTCTCTCCATGCCTGAGGAGGTAAGGTCTGGGTCTGTCCATGTCTGAGGAGGTAGGATCGAGGTCTCCCCATGTCTGAGGAGGTAGGATCTGGGTCTGTCCGTGTCTGAGGAGGTAGGCTCTTGCATGAATATGAGGACCTGGGTCTGTCCATGTCTGCAGAGGTAGGATCTGGTGCAGGTATAAGGATCTGGGTCTTTCCATGTCTGAGGAAATAGGATCTGGTACAGGTATGAGGATCTGGGTCTGTCAATATGCGAGGAGGTAGGATCTAGCCCTGGTTTGAGGATCTGGGTCTGTCCATGTCTGAGAAGGTAGGATCTAGCCCTGGTATGAGGCTTATGAGGATTTAGGTCTGTCAGTATCTGAGGAGTTAGGATCTGGGTGCAGGTACAGGTATGAGGATCTGGGTCTGTCAGTGTCTGAGGAGGTAGGATCTGGCCCCCATATGAGGCTCTGGGTTGCCCATGTCTGAGAAGGTAGGATCTGGCCCTGATAGGAGGATTATGAGGATCTGGATCTGTCAGTATCTGAGGAGGTAGGATCTGGTGCCGGTATGAGGATCGAGTCTGTCAGTGTCTGAGGAGGTAGGATCTGGTGCTGGTATGAGGATCTGAGTCTGTCAGTGTCTGAGGAGGTAGGATCTGGTACAGGTGTGAGGATCTGGGTCTCTCTATGTCTGAGGAGGTAGGATCTGGCGCAGGTATAAGGATCTGGGTCTTTCAATGTCTGAGAAGGTAGGATCTGGCCTGGTATGAGGATCTGAGGCTTTCAATATCTGAGGTGGTAGGGATCTGGTACAGGTATGAGTATCTGGGTCTCTCCATGTCTGAGAAGGTAGGAATCTGTTACAGGCATGAAGATCTGGGTCTGTCAATGTGTGAAGAGATAAGATCTGGCCCTGGTATGAGGATCTGTGTCTCCCCATGTCTGAGGAGGTAGGATCTGGATCTGCCTCTGTCTGAGGAGGTAGGATCTGGCATGAGTATGAGCATCTGGGTCTGTCCATGTTTGCAGAGGTAGGATCTGGTGCAGGTATGAGGATCTGGGTCTCTCCATGTCTGAGGAAGTAGGATCTGGTACAGGTATGAGGATCTGGGTCTGTCAGTATCTGAGGAGGTATGAATCTGGTACAGGTATGAGGATCTGGGTCTGTCTATGTCCAAGGAGGTAGGATCTGGTACAAGTGTGAAGATCTGGGTCTGTCTGTATCTGAGGAGGTAGGAATCTGGTACAGGTATGAAGATCTGGGTCTGCCAGTGTCTGAGGAGGTAGGATCTGGCCCTGGTATGAGGATCTGGGTCTGACCATGTCTGAGAAGGTAGGATCTGGCCCTGGTATGAGGCTTATGAGGATTTGGGTCTGTCAGTATCTGAGGAGGTAAGATCTGGGTGCGGGTACAGGTCTGAGGATCTGTTTTGTCAGTGTCTGAGGAGGTAGGATCTGGCCCCCTTATGAGGCTCTGGGTTGTTCATGTCTCAGACAGTAGGATCTGGCCCTGATAGGAGGATTATGAGGATCTGGGACTGTCAGTATCTGAGGAGGTAGGATCTGGGTGCCGGTATAAGGATCTGGATCTGTCAGTGTCTGAGGAGGTAGGATCTGGCGCTGGTATGAGGATGTGAGTCTGTCAATTCTGAGGAGGTAGGATTTGGTACAAGTGTGAAGATCTGGGTCTCTCTCTGTCTGAGCAGGTAGGATCTGGTAAAAGTGTGAGGATCCAGGCCTGTCCATGTCTGAGGAGGTAGGATCTGGCATGACTATGAGGATCTGGGTCTGTCCATATCTGAGGAGGGAGGATCTGGGTCTTTCAATATCTGAGAAGGTAGGATCTGGCCCTGGTATGAGGATCTGAGTCTTTCAATATCTGAGGAGGTAGGATCTGGCATGACTATGAGGATCTGGGTCTGTCCATATCTGAGGAGGGAGGATCTGGATCTTTCAATATCTGAGAAGGTAGGATCTGGCCCTGGTATGAGGATCTGAGTCTTTCAATATCTGAGGAGGTAGGAATCTAATACAGGTATGAGTTTCTGGGTCTCTCCATGTCTGAGAAGGTAGGATCTGGCATGAATATGAGGATTTGGGTCTGTCCATGTCTGAGGACGTAGAATCTGTCCCTGGTATGAGGATCTGAGTCTTTCAATATCTGAGGAGGGAGGAATCTAGTACAGGTATGAGTATCTGGGTCTCTCCCTGTTAGAGAAGGTAGGAATCTGTTACAGGCATGAAGATCTGGGTCTGTCAATTTGTGAAGAGGTAAGATCTGGCCCTGGTATGAGGATCATGTCTCCCCATGTCAGAGGAGGTAGCATCTGGGTCTACCCATGTCTTAGGAGGTAGGATCTGGCATGAGTATGAGGATCTGGGTCTGTCCATGTCTGAGGAGGTAGGATCTGGCGCAGATATAAGGATCTGGCTCTTTCAATGTCTGAGAAGGTAGGATCTGGCCCTGGTATGAGGATCTGGGTCCGTCAATATCTGAGGAGGTAGGAATCCGGCCCTCGTATGCGGATGCGGGTCTCTCCATCTCTGAGGGGTTGAATCTGGTACAGGTATGAGGATCTGGGTCTGTCAGTGTCAGGAGGTAGGATCTGGCCCTAGTATGGGTATCTGGGTCTGTCCATGTCTGAGAAGGTAGGATCTGGCCCATTAGGATTGTGAGGATCTGGGTCTGTCAGTATCTGAGGAGGTAGGATCTGGGTGTGGGTATAAGGATCTGGATCTGTTGGTGTCTTACGGGGTAAGATCTGGCCCTGGTATAAGGATCTAGGTCTTTCCATGTCTGAGGAAGTAGGATCTGGTACAGGTATGAGGATCTGGGTCTGTCAATATGTGAGGAGGTAGGATCTGTCCGTGGTATGAGGATCGGGGTCTGTCTGAGAAGGTAGGATCTGGCCCTGGTATGAGGATCTTGGTCTGACCATGTCTGAGAAGGTAGGATCTGGCCCTGGTATGAGGCTTATGAGGATCTGGGACTGTCAGTATCTGAGGAGGTAGGATCTGGGTGCCGGTATAAGGATCTGGATCTGTCAGTATCTGAGGAGGTAGGATCTGGCGCTGGTTTGAGGATCTGAGTCTGTCAATGTCTGAGGAGGTAGGATTTGGTAGACGTGTGAAGATCTGGGTCTCTCTATGTCTGAGCAGGTAGGATCTGGTAAAAGTGTGAGGATCTGGGCCTGTCCATGTCTGAGGAGGTAGGATCTGGCATGAGTATGAGGATCTGGGTCTGTCCATATCTGAGGAGGTAGGATCTGGCGCAGGTATGAGGATCTGGGTCTTTCAATATCTGAGAAGGTAGGATCTGGCCCTGGTATGAGGATCTGAGTCTTTCAATATCTGAAGAGGTAGGAATCTAGTATAGGTATGAGGATCTGTGTCTCCCCATGTCTGAGGAGGTAGGATCTGGCATGAGTATGAGGATTTGGGTCTCTCCATGTCTGAGGAGGTAGGATCTGGCGCAGGTATAAGGATCTGGGTCTTTCAATGTGTGAGAAGGTAGGATCTGGCCCTGGTATGAGGATCTGAGTCTTTCAATATCTGAGGAGGTAGGAGTCTAGTACAGGTATGAGTATCTGGATCTCCCCATGTCTGAGAAGGTAGGAATCTGTTACTGGCATGAAGATCTGTGTCTGTCAATGTGTGAAGAGGTAAGCTCTGGCCCTGGTATGAGGATCTGGGTCTGTCCATGTCTGAGGAGGTAGGATCTGGCGCAGATATAAGGATCTGGCTCTTTCAATGTCTGAGAAGGTAGGATCTGGCCCTGGTATGAGGATCTGGGTCCGTCAATATCTGAGGAGGTAGGAATCCGGCCCTCGTATGAGGATGCGGGTCTCTCCATCTCTGAGGGGTTGAATCTGGTACAGGTATGAGGATCTGGGTCTGTCAGTGTCAGGAAGTAGGATCTGGCCCTGGTATGGGTATCTGGGTCTGTCCATGTCTGAGAAGGTAGGATCTGGCCCTGGTATGAGGATCTGAGTCTTTCAATATCTGAGAAGGTAGGAATCTAGTACAGGTATGAGTATCTGGATCTCCCCATGTCTGAGAAGGTAGAAATCTGTTATAGGCATGAAGATCTGGGTCTGTCAATGTGTGAAGAGGTAAGATCTGGCCCTGGTATGAGCATTGTGTCTCCCCATGTCTGAGGAGGTAGCGTCTGGGTCTACCCATGTCTTAGGAGGTAGGATCTGGCATGAGTATGAGGATCTGGGTCTGTCCATGTCTGAGGAGGTAGGATCTGGCGCAGATATAAGGATCTGGCTCTTTCAGTGTCTGAGAAGGTAGGATCTGGCCCTGGTATGAGAATCTGGGTCCGTCAATATCTGAGGAGGTAGGAATCCGGCCCTCGTATGCGGATGCGGGTCTCTCCATCTCTGAGGGGTTGAATCTGGTACAGGTATGAGGATCTGGGTCTGTCAGTGTCAGGAGGTAGGATCTGGCCCTAGTATGGGTATCTGGGTCTGTCCATGTCTGAGAAGGTAGGATCTGGCCCATTAGGATTGTGAGGATCTGGGTCTGTCAGTATCTGAGGAGGTAGGATCTGGGTGCGGGTATAAGGATCTGGATCTGTCAGTGTCTTAGGAGGTAAGATCTGGCCCTGGTATAAAGCTCTAGGTCTTCCCATGTCTGAGGAAGTAGGATCTGGTACAGGTATGAGGATCTGGGTCTGTCAATATGTGAGGAGGTAGGATCTGTCCATGGTATGAGGATCGGGGTCTGTCTGAGAAGGTAGGATCTGGCCCTGGTATGAGGCTTATGAGGATTTAGGTCTGTCAGTATCTGAGGAGTTAGGATCTGGGTGCGTCAGTGTCTGAGGAGGTAGGATCTGGTCCCCGTATAAGGCTCTGGGTTGCCCATGTGTGAGAAGGTAGGATCTGGCCCTGATAGGAAGATTATGAGGATTTGGATCTGTCAGTATCTGAGGAGGTAGGATCTGGGTGCCGATATAAGGATCTGGATCTGTCAGTGTCTGAGGAGGTAGGATCTGGTGCTGGTATGAGGATCGAGTTTGTCAGTGTCTGAGGAGGTAGGATCTGGTACAGGTGTGAGGATCTGGGTCTTTCTATGTCTGAGCAGGTAGGATCTGGTACAAGTGTGAGGATCTGGGTCTGTCCATGTCTGAGAAGGTAGGATCTGGCCCTGGTTTGAGAATCTGAGTCTTTCAATATCTGAGGAGGTAGGAATCTAGTACAGGTATGACGATCTGGGTCTCTTCATGTCTGAAGACGTAGGAATGTGTTACAGGCATGAAGATATGGGTCTGTCAATGTGTGAAGATACAAGATCTAAGGAGGTAGGATCTGGATCTGCCTGTGTCTGAAGAGGTAGGATCTGGCATGAGTATGAGGATCTGGGTCTGTCCATGTCTGCAGAGGTAGGATCTGGCACAGGTATGAGGATCTGGGTCTCTCCATGTCTGAGGAAGTAGGATCAGGTACAGGTATGAGGATGTGGGTCTGTCAATATCTGAGGAGGTACGAATCTGGTACAGGTATGAGGATCTGGGTCTGTCTATGTCCGAGGAGGTAGGATCTTGTATAGGTGTGAAGATGTGGGTCTGTCTATATCTGAGGAGGTAGGAATCTGGTACAGGTATGAGGATCTGGGTCTTTCAGTGTCTGAGGAGGTAGGATCTGGCCCTGGTATGAGGATCTGGGTCTGACCATGTCTGAGAAGGTAGGATCTGGCCCTGGTATGAGGCTTATGAGGATTTGGGTCTGTCAGTATCTGAGGAGGTAGGATCTCGGTGCGGGTACAGGTTTGAGGATCTGTTTTGTCAGTGTCTGAGGAGGTGGGATGTGGCCCTGGTATGAGGCTCTGGGTTGCTCATGGCTGAGACAGTAAGATCTGGCCCTAGGAGGATTATGAGGATCTAGGACTGTCAGTATCTGAGGAGGTAGGATCTGGGTGCCGGTATTAGGATCTGGATCTGTCAGTATCTGAGGAGGTGGGATCTGGCGCTGGTATGAGGATCTGAGTCTGTCAATGTCTGAGGAGGTAGGATCTGGTACAAGTGTGAAGATCTGGGTCTCTGTATGTTTGATCCGGTAGGATCTGGTAAAAGTGTGAGGATCTGGGTCTGTCCATGTCTGGGGAGGTAGGATCTGGCGCAGATATAAGGATCTGGATCTTTCAATGTTTGAGAAGGTAGGATCTGGCCCTGGTATGAGGATCTGAGTCTTTCAATATCTGAGAAGGTAGGAATCTAGTACAGGTATGAGTATCTGGGTCTCTCCATGTCTGAGAAGGTAGAAATCTGTTATAGGCATGAAGATCTGGGTCTGTCAGTGTGTGAAGAGGTAAGATCTGGCCCTGGTATGAGGATCTGTGTCTCCCCATGTCTGAGGAGGTAGCCTCTGGGTCTGCCCATGTCTTAGGAGGTAGGATCTGGCATGAGTATGAGGATCTGGGTTTGTCCATGTCTGCAGTGGTAGGATATGGAGCAGGTATAAGGATCTGGGTCTTTCAATGTCTGAGAAGGTAGGATCTGGCCCTGGTATGAGGATCTGGGTCTGTCAATATCTGAAGAGGTCGGAATCCGGCCCTTGTATGAGGATGTGGGTCTCTCCATCTCTGAGGGGGTTGAATCTTGTATAGGTATGAGATCTGGGTCTGTCAGTGTCTGAGGAGGTAGAATCTGATCCTGGTATGGGTATCTGGGTCTGTCCTTGTCTGAGAAGGTAGGGTCTGGCCCATTAGGATTATGAGGATCTGGGTCTGTCAGTTTCTGAGGAGGTAGGATCCGGGTGCAGGTATAAGGATCTGGATCTGTCAGTGTCTTAGGAGGTAACATCTTGCCTTGGTATAAGGATCTGGGTCTTTCTATGTCTGAGGAAGTAGGATCTGGTACAGGTGTGAGGATCTGGATCTGTCAGTATCTGAGGAGGTAGGATCCGGGTGCAGGTATAAGGATCTGGATCTGTCAGTGTCTTAGGAGGTAAGATCGGGCCCTGGTATAAGGATCTGGGTCTCTGCATGTCTAAGGAAGTAGGATCTGGTACAGGTATGAGGATCTGGGTCTGTCAATATGTGAGGAGGTAGGATCTGGCCGTGGTATGAGGATCTGGGTCTGTCCATGTCTGATAAGGTAGGATCTGGCCCTGGTATGAGGCTTATGAGGATTTAGGTTTGTCAGTATCTGAGGAGGTAGGATCTGGCCCTGGTATGAGGCTTATGAGGATTTAGGTCTGTCAGTATCTGAGGAGGTAGGATCTGGGTGTGAGTAAAGGTATGAGGATCTGGGTGTGTCAGTGTCTGAGGAGGTAGGATCTGGCCCCCGTATGAGGCTCTGGGTTGCTCATGTCTGAGAAGGTAGGATCTGGCCCTGATAGGATTATGAGGATCTGGGTCTGTCAGTATCTGAGGAGGTAGGATCTGGCGCTGGTATGAGGATCGAGTCTGTCAGTGTCTGAGGAGGTAGGATCTGGTGCTGGTATGAGGATCGAGTCTATCAGCGTCTAAGGAGGTAGGATCTGGTGCTGGTATGAGAATCGAGTCTGTCAGTGTCTGAGGAGGTGGATCTGGATCTGTCAGTATCTGAGGAGGTAGGATCTGGCCTTGGTTTGAGGAACTGGGTCGTTCAATATCTGAGGAGGTACGAATCTGATACAGGTATGAAGATCTGGTTCTCTCCATGTCTGGAGGTAGGATCTGGTACAAGTGTGAGGATCTGGGTCTGTTTATATCTGAGGAGGTAGGATCTGTACAGGTGTGAGGATCTGGGTCTCTCTGTTTCTGAGCAGGTAGGATCTGGTACAAGTGTAAGGATCTGGGTCTGTCCATGTCTGAGGAGGTAGGATCTGGAGCAGGTATAAGGATCTGGGTCTTTCAATGTCTGAGAAGGTAGGATCTGGCCATGGTATGAGGATCTGAGTCTTTCAATATCTGAGGAGATAGGAATATAGTACAGGTGTGAGGATCTGGGTCTCTCCATGTTGGAAGAGGTAGGAATCTCTTACAGACATGAAGATCTGCGTCTGTCAATGTGTGAAGAGGTAAGACCTGGCCCTGGTATGAAGATCTGTGTCTCCCCATGTCTGAGAAGGTAGGATCTGGATCTGCCTGTGTCTGAGGAGGTAGGATCTGGCATGAGTATGAGGGTCTCGGTCTGTCCATGTCTGCAGAGGTAGGATCTGGCGCAGGTATGAGGATCTGGGTCTGTCAATATCTGAGGAAATACGAATCTGGTACAGGTATGAGGATCTGGGTCTGTTTATGTCTGAGGAGGTAGGATCTGGTACAGGTGTGAAGATCTGGGTCTGTCTGTATCTGAGGAGGTAGGAATCTGGTACAGGTGTGAGGATCTGGGTCTGTCAGTGTCTGAGGAGGTAGGATCTGGCCCTGGTATGAGGATCTGGGTCTGACCATGTCTGAGAAGGTAGGATCTTGCCCTGGTATGAGGATTGAGTCTGTCAGTGTCTGAGGAGGTAGGATCAGGTGTTGGTATGAGGATCGAGTGTATCAGTGTCTGAGGAGGTAGGATCTGGGTGCCGGTTTAAGGATCTGGATCTGTCAGTATCTGAGGAGGTAGGATCTGGTGCTGGTATGGGTATCTGAGTCTGTCAATGTCTCAGGAGGTAGGATGTGGTACAAGTGTGAAGATCTGGATCTCTCTATGTCTGAGCAGGTAGGATCTGGTACAAGTGTGAGGATCTGGGCCTGTCCATATCTGAGGAGGTAGGATCTGGCATGAGTATGAGGATCTGGGTCTGTCCATGTCTGAGGAGGTAGGATCTGGCACAGATATAAGGATCTGGATCTTTCAATATCTGAGAAGGTAGGATCTGGCCCTGGTATGAGGATCAGAGTCTGTCAATATCTGAGAAGGTAGGAATCTAGTACAGGTATGAGTATCTGGGTCTCTCCATGTCTGAGATGGTAGAAATCTGTTATAGGCATGAAGATCTGGGTCTGTCAATGTGTGAAGAGATAAGATCTGGCCCTGGTATGAGGATCTGTGTCTCCCCATGTCTGAGGAGGTAGGATCTGGCATGAGTATGAGGATCTGGGTCTGTCCATGTCTGCAGAGGTAGGATCTGGGATGAGTATGAGGATCTGAGTCTGACCATGTCTGAGAAGGTAGGGTCTGGCCCTGGCATGAGGATCTGAGTCTTTCAATATCTGAGGAGTTATATACCAGGAATCTAGTACAGGTATGAGTATCTGGGTCTCTCCACGTCTGAGAAGGTAGGAATCTGTTATAGGCATGAAGATCTGGTTCTGTCGATGTGTGAAGAGGTAAGATCTGGCCCTGGTATGAGGATCTGGGTCTGTCAATATCTGAGGAGGTAGGAATCTGGCTCTCATATGAGGATGTGGGTCTCTCCATCTCTGAGGGGGTTGAATCTGGTACAGGTATGAGGATCTGAGTCTGTCACTGTCTGAGGAAGTAGGATCTGACCCTGGTGTGGGTATCTGGGTCTGTCCATGTCTGAGAAGGTAGGATCTGGCCCATTAGGATTATGAGGCTCTGGGTCTGTCAGTATCTTAGGAGGTAGGATCCGGGTGCAGGTATAAGGATCTGGATCTGTCAGTGTCTTAGGAGGTAAGATGTGGCCCTGGTATGAGGATCTGAGTCTGTCCATGTCTGAGGAGGTAGGGTCTGGTACAGGTGTGAAGATCTGGGTCTCTCCATGTCTCAGGAAGTAGGATCTGGTACAGGTATGAGGATCTGGGTGTGTTCATGTCTGAGGAGGTAGGATTTGGTGTATGTATTAGGATCTGGGTCTGTCCATGTCTGAGGAGGTAGGATCTGGCACAGATATAAGGATCTAGGTCTTTTAATGTCTGAGAAGGTAGGATCTGTCCCTCGTTTGAGGATCTAGGTCTTTCAATATCTGAGGAGGTAGGAATCTGGTACAGGTATGATGATCTGGGTCTGTCAAGTCTGAGGAGGTAGGACATTGCCCTGGTATACGGATCTGGGTCTCTTCATTTCTGAGGAGGTAAGAATCTGTTACAGGCATGAGGATCTGGGTCTGTGAATGTCTGAGGAGGTAGGACCTGGCCCTGGTATGCAGAACTGGGTCTCTTCATGTCTGTGGAGGTAGGATCTGGGTCTTTCCATGTCTGCAGAGGTAGGATCTGGCATAACTATATCTGGCACAGATATAAGGATCTGGGTCTTTCAATGTCTGACAAGGTAGGATCTGGCCTTGGTATGAGGATCTGAGTTTGTCAGTATCTGAGGATGTACGAATCTAGTACAGGTATGAGGATCTGGGTCCGAGGGGGTAGGATATGGTACAAGTGTGAGGATCTAGGTCTGTCTATGTCTGAGGAGGTAGGAATCTGGTACAGGTTGGAGGATCTGGTTCTGTCAGTGTCTGAGGAGGTAGGATCTGGCCCTGGTATGAGGCTTATGAGGATTTGAGTCTGTCAGTATCTGAGGAGGTGGGATCTAGCTGCGGGTACAGGTATGAGGGTCTGGGTCTATCAGGGTCTGAGGAAGTAGGATCTGGCCCCTGTATGAGGCTCTGGGTTGTCCATGTCTGAGAAGGTAGGATCCGGCCCTGATAGGAGGATTATGAGGATCTGAGACTGTCACTATCTGAGGAGGTAGGATCTGGGTGTGGGTATAAGGATCTGGATCTGTCAGTATCTGAGGAGGTAGGATCTGGCCTTGGTTTGAGGATCTGGGTCGTTCAATATCTGAGGAGGTACGAATCTGATACAGGTATGAAGATCTGGGTCTCTCCATGTCTGGAGGTAGGATCTGGTACAAGTGTGAGGATCTGGGTCTGTTTATATCTGAGGAGGTAGGATCAGGTACAGGTATGAGGATCTGGGTCTGTCAGTGTCTGAGCAGGTGGGATCTGGTACAAGTGTGAAGATCTGGGTCTGTCCATGTCTGAGGAGTTAGGATCTGGAGCAGGCATAAGGGTCTGGGTCTTTTCATGTCTGAGAAGGTAGGATCTGGCCCTGGTATGAGGATCTGAGTCTTTCAATATCTGAAGAGGTAGGAATCTAGTACAGGTATGAGGATCTGGGTCTCTCCATGTCTGAGGAGGGAGGAATCTGTTACAGGCATGAGGATCTGGGTCTGTCAATGTGTGAAGAGGTACGATCTGGCCTGGTATGATGATCTGTGTCTCCCCATGTCTGAGAAGGTAGGATCTGGATCTGTCCATGTCTGAGGAGGTAGGATCTGGCATGAGTATGAGGATCTGGGTCTGTCCACATATGCGGAGGTAGGATCTGGAGCAGGTATAAGGATCTGGGTATTTCAATGTCTGAGAGGGTAGGATCTGGCCCTGGTATGAGGATCTGGGTCTGTCAATATCTGAGGAGGTAGGAATCTGGTGCTCATATGAGGACGTGGATCTCTCCATCCCTGAGGGGGTTGAATCTGGTACAGGTGTGAGGATCTGGGTCAGTCAGCGTCTGAGGAGATAGGATCTTGCCCTGGTATGGGTATCTGGGTCTGTCCTTGTCTGAGAAGGTAGGATCTGACCCATTAGGATTATGAGGATCTGGGTCTGTTAGTATCTGAGGAGGTAGGATCTGGGTGCAGGTATAAGGATCTGGTACTGTCAGTATCTGAGGAGGTAGGATCTGGGTGCAGGTATAAGGATTTGGATCTGTCAGTGTCTGAGGAGGTAAGATCTGGCCCAGGTGTGAGGATCTGAGTCTGTCCATGTCTGAGGAGGTAGGATGTGGTACTGGTGTGAAGATCTGGGTCTCTCCATGTCTCACGAAGTAGGATCTGGTACAGGTATTGGGATCTGGGTCTGTCCATGTCTAAGGAGTTATGAATCTGGTACAGATATAAGGATCTGGGTGTGTTCGTGTCTGAGGAGGTAGGATTTGGTGCATGTATTAGGATCTGGGTCTGTCCATGTCTGAGGAGATCGGATCTGGCATGGATATCAGGATCTAGGTCTTTTAATGTCTGAGAAGGTAGGATCTGGCCCTTGTTTGAGGATCTCGGTCTTTCAATATCTGAGGAGGTAGGAATCTGGTACAGGTATGAGGATCTGGGTCTGTCAATGTCTGAGGAGGTAGGACCTGGCTGTGGTATATGGATCTGGGTCTCTTCATGTCTGAGGAGGTAGGAAACTGTTACAGGCCTGAGGATCTGGGTCTGTCATTGTCTAAGGAGGTAGGATCTGGCCCCAGTATGAGGATCGGGGTCTGTCCATGTCTGAGAAGGTAGGATCTGACTGTGATATGAGGATTACGAACATATGGGTCTCTCAGTATCTGATGAGGTAGTATCTGGGTGCCAGTACAAGGATCTGGCAGTCAGTATCTGGGGAGGTAGGATCTGGCCCTGGTATGAGGATCTGAGTCTGTAGATGTCTGAGGAGGTGGGATCTGGTACAGGTGTGAGGATCTGGGTCCGTTCATGTCTGAGGAGGTAGGATTTGGTACACATACTAGTTTCTTGGTCTGCCCACATCTGAGGAGGTAGGACCTGGCCCTGGTATGAGGATCTGGGTCTCTTCATGTCTGAGGAGGTAGGATCTGGCATGAGTATGAGGATCTGGCTCTGTCCATGTCTGGGGAAGTAGGATTTGGCGCAGATATAAGCATCTGGGTCTTTTAATGTCTGCGAAGGTAGGCTCTGGCCTTGGTATGAGGATCTGGGTCTGTCAATATCTGAGGAGGAATGAATCTAGTACAGGTATGAGGATCTGGGTCTCTCCATGTCTGAGAAGGTTGGCTGTGGTACAGGTATGAGGATCTGGGTCTGTCAGTGTCTGAGGAGGTAGGATTTGGTCCTGTTTTGAGGATCTGGGTCTATCCATGTCTGAAATGGTAGGATCTGGCCCATTAGGATTTTGAGGATCTGGGTCTGTCAGTATCTGAAGAGGTAGTATCTGGGTGCGGGTATAAGGATCTGTATCTGTCAGTATCTGAGGAGGTAGGATCTGGCCATGGTATGAGGATCTGAGTCTGTCAATTTCTGAGGAGGTAGGATCTGGTACAGGTATGAGGATCTTGGTCTGTCCATGTCTGAGGAGGTAGTATCTGGCACAGATATAAGGATCTGGGTCTGTTCATGTCTCAGGAGGTAGGACGGCGCAATTATAGGGATCTGGGTCTATCAGTGTCTGAGAATGTAGGATCTGGCCCTTGTATGAGGATCTGGGTCTTTCAGTATCTGAGGAGGTAGGAATTTGGTACAGGTATGAAGATCTGGGTCTCTTCATGACTGAGGAGGTAGGAGTCTGTTATAGGCATGAGGATCTGGGTCTGTCAATGTGTGAGGAGGTAAGATCTCTCCCTGGTATGACGATCTGGGCCTGTCAGTGTTTGAGGAGGTAGGAATCTGGTACACGTATGTGGATCTGCATCTGTCAATGTCTGAGGAGATAGGACCTGGCCCTGATATGAGGATCTGGGTCTCTCCATGTCTGAGGAGGTAGGATCTGGGTGTGCCCGTGTCTGAGGAGGTCGGATCTGGCATGAGTATGAGGATCTGGGTCTGTCCATGTCTGCAGCGGTAGGATCTGGAGCAGGTATAAGGATCTGGATCTTTCAATGTCTGAAAAGGTAGGATCTGGCCCTTGTATGAGGATCTGGGTCTTTCAGTATCTGAGGAGGTAGGAATCTGGTGCTGGTATGAGGATCTGGGTCTCTCCATGTCTGAGGAGGTTGGATCTGGTACAGATATGAGGATCTGGGTCTGTCAGTATCTGAGGCGGTAGGATCTGCCTCTGGTATGAGGATCTGAGTCTGTCAGTGTCTTAGAAGGTAGGCTGTGGTACAGGTGTTAGGATCTGGGTCTCTCCATGTATGAGTAAGTAGGAACTGGTAGAGGTGTGAGGATCTGGGTCTGTCCATGTCTGAGGAGGTAGGATCTGGCTCAGATATAAGGATCTAGGTCTTTCAATGTCTGAGAAGATAGAATCTGGCCCTGATTTGAGGATATGGGTCTTTCAATATCTGAGGAGGTACAAATCTAGTACAGGTATGTGGATCTGAGTCTCTTCATGTCTGAGGAGGTAGGAATCTGTTACAGGCATGAGGATCTGGGTCTGTCAATGTATGAAGAGATAAGACCTGGCCCTGGTATGCGGATCTGCATCTCTCCATGTCTGAGGAGGTAGGGTCGGGGTCTGTCCATGTCTGCGGAGGTAGGATCTGGCAGGACTATGAGGATTTGGCTCTGTTCATGTCTGCAGAGGTAGGATCTGGCACAGATATAAGGATCTGGGTCTTTCAATTGTTTGAGAAGGTAGGATCTGGCCTTGGTATGAGGATCTGGGTCTGTCAATATCTGAGGAGGTACCAATCTAGTACATGTGTGAAGATCTGGGTCTGTCTGTCTGAGGAGGTAGGAATCTGGTACAGGTATGAGGATCTGGGTCTGTCAGTGTCTGAGGAGGTGGGATCTGGCCCTGGTATGAGGCTTATGAGGATCTGGGTCTGTCAGTGTCTGAGCAGGTAGGATCTGGCCCTGGTGTGAGGATCATGAAGAACTTGGTCTGTCAGTGTCTGAGGAGGTAGGATCTGGGTGCCGGTAGAAGGATCTGGGACTGCCAGTATCTGAGGAGGTAGGATCTGGCCCTTGCATGAGGATCTGTGTCTGTCAGTGTCTGAGGAGGTAGGATGTGGTACAGGTGTTAGGATTTGGGTCTCTCCATGTCTGGAGGTAGGATCTGATACCGATGTGAGGATCTGGGTCTGTCCATCTCTGAGGAGGTAGGATCTGGTACAGGTATGAGGATCTGGGTCTCTCCATGTGTGAGAAGGTAGAAATCTGGTACAGATACAAGGATCTGGGTCTGTTCATGTAGGATCATGTCTGAGGAGGTAGGATTTGATGCAGGTATTAGGATCTGGGTCTGTCCATGTCTGAGGAGGTGGGATCTGGCACAAATAGAAGGATCTGGATCTGTCAATGTCTGAGAAGGTAGTATCTGGCCCTGGTATGATGATCTGGGTCTTTCAGTATCTGAGGAGGTAGGAATCTAGTAGAGGTACGAGGATCAGGGTCTCTCTATGTCTGTGGAGGTAGGAATCTGTTACAGGCATGAGGATCTGTGTCTGTCAGGGTTGGAGGCGGTAGGAATCTGGTACACATATGATATATCTGCATCTTTCAATGTCTGAGGAGGTAGGACCTGGCTCTGGTATGAGGATGTGGATCTCTCCATATCTGAGGAGGTAGGATCTGAGTCTGTCCGTGTCTGAGGAGGTAGGATCTGGCATGAGTATGAGGATCTGGGTCTGTTCATGTCTGCGGAGGTAGGGTCTGGAGCAGGTATAAGGATCTGGGTCTGTTCATGTCTGAGAAGGCAGGATCTGGCCCATTAGGATTATGAGGATCTGGGTCTGTCAGTAGCTGAAGAGGTAGTATCTGAGCATGGGTATAAGGATCTGGATCTGTCAATATCTGAGGAAGTAGGATCTGGCCCTGGTATGAGGATCTGAGTCTGTCAATGTCTTAGGAGGTAGGCTCTGGTACAGGTGAGAGGCTCTGGGTCTGTCCATGTCTGAGGAGGTAGGATCTGGCATAGATACAAGGATCTAGGTTTTTCAATGTCTGAGAAGGTAGGATCTGGCCCTGGTTTGAGGATCTGGGTCTTTCAATATCTGAGCAGGTAGGAATCTGGTACAAGCATGAGGATCTGGGTTGTCAGTGTCTGAGAAGGTAGGACCTGGCCCTGTTATGAGGATCTGGGTCTCTCCATGTCTGAGGAGGTAGGTTCTGGGTCTGTCCATATCTCAGGAGGGAGGATCTGGCATGAGTATGAGGATCTTGGTCTGTTCATGTCTTAGGAGGGAGGATCTGGTGCACTTATAAGGATCTGGGTCTGTCAGTGTCAGAGAAGGTAGGATCTGGCCCTGGTATGAGGATCTGGATCTGTCAGTATCTGAGGAGGTAGGGTCTGGCCCTGGAGGATCTGGGTCTGTTCATGTCTGAGGAGGTAGGATCTCGTACCAGTATGAGGAGCTGGTTCTGTCAATATCTGAGGACGTAGGAATCTGGTACAGGTTTGAGGATTTGGGTCTGTCTGTATCCAGGAGGTATGACCTCGTACAGGCATGAGTATTTGGTATTGCAGTGTCTGAGGAGGTAGGATCTGGTGTAGGTGTGAGGATCTGGGTTTGCTCCCTGCCCCCGTGGCTGAAGAGGTAGGATCTGGTACAGGTGTGAGGATCTGCGTCTGTTCATGTCTGAGGAGGTTGGATCTGGCCCCCTTATGAGGATCTGAGTCTGTCAATATCTGAAGAGGTAGGAATCTGGTACAGGTATGAGGATCTGTGTGTGTGTCAGTGTCTGAGGAATTAGGAATCTGGTACAGGTGTGAGGATCTTCATGTCTCTGTATCTGAGGAAGTAGGATCTGATACAGGTATTAGGATCTGGGTCTATGTCTGAGGAGGTAGCATCTGATACAGGTATGAAGACCTGAGTCTGTCAGTGTCTGAAGTGGTTGGATCTGGCCCTGGTATGAGGATCTGGGTTTGTCAGTATTTGAGGAGGTAGGATCTGTCCCTGGTAGGAGGGTCTGTGTCTTCTAGTGTCTGAAAAAGTAGGATCTGGCCCTGGTATGAGGATCTGGGTCTGTCAGTATCTGAGGAGGTAGGATCTCATACAGGTATGAGGATCTGGGTTTTTCAATGTCTGAGGAGGTAGGATCTGGCACAGGCATGAGCATCTGGGTCTGACCATGTCTAAAGAGTTGAAGCTGTGTGCAGGTATGAGGCCTTGGGTCTGCCAGTGTCTGGGGAGGTGAGGCTGGGCATGGGTGTGAGACCCTGGGTCTGTCCATATCTGAGGAGGTAGGATCTGGTATGAGTATGAGGATCTGGGTGTGTCCGTGTCTGAGGAGGTGGGCCCTGGCACAGGTATGAGGCCTGGGGTCTGTCCGTGTCTGAGGAGGTGGGCCCTGGCGCAGGTATGAGGCCCTGGGTGTGTCCGTGTCTGAGGAGGTGGGCCCTGGCACAGGTATGAGGTCCTGGGTCTGCTGGTGTCTGCAGAGACAGGGCCCGACATCTCAGGGAAGACCACGGTAAGCTCTTCAGTTTGTCTTGTGGCTGTGGTCAGTCATCTGTAGTCTGCCCTGTTGGTCTTCCCATGTGTTGCCAGCACCTGCCTGCTGCCTTGCTTCCTGGAGGTGGGTTGGGCCAGGGCCCTCCGAGACGCCCCTGTGCAAGACCAGGGACAGGGTTTCCGGCAGGAGGTGGGGGGCGGGGTGTGCCGGCCCTCCCTCAGCACCTTGTCCTGTCTCTCCTAGTGGGTGGGAGGACGCTACTCGCTGTGGTCGGCCATCGGACTCTCCATTGCCCTGCACGTGGGTGAGTGTGTTTCTGTGTCTTGCAGCCCCTGTGGGAGACAGTGTTGCAGTCTAAGGTCGGGGTAGGGGGCTTGTGTCCCTGAACATCATGCTGTCCTCACAGGCTGCTGGCCTCTCTGCAGCTGGCTGGGATATTTATTTCATGTCCAGAAGGAAGGTCTGGGTTTTTTTGCGTGTGCAAGTTGGCCCCCGTCTTTGCCCCTCACAACTGCAGTCCTGTTTCTCTCCTATCCTAGGCAGAGTCAGATCCCTGCACTCAGGGCCACCTCTCACTGGAGGGGCTTTGTCTAGGTCCGAGTCCTCCCATGTCGTATCTTCTGGCTCTCCATGCAGCCTTCCTTCGTTGCAGAAGGAGCTGTGCCCACTGCCCACAGGACGCAGGGTGTGGCCACTTCTGTTGACTCTGCTTTTGTGTCACAGGTTTTGACAACTTCGAGCAGCTGCTCTCGGGGGCTCACTGGATGGTGAGTGCTGAGGCTGGTTCTCTGCCAAGTGCTGGCCAGAGGCGCGTGTGTTGGTCCTGGTCCCCCGCTTTCTCCCCCACTGTCCTGTCCCTCCCCTCCCCGTGCAGCTGCTCAGCTCCCACTCATCCTGCTCCTGTTTCAGGACCAGCACTTCCGCACGACGCCCCTGGAGAAGAACGCCCCCGTCTTGCTGGCCCTGCTGGGTATCTGGTACATCAACTGCTTTGGGTGTGAGACACACGCCATGCTGCCCTATGACCAGTACCTGCACCGCTTTGCTGCGTACTTCCAGCAGGTACCAGCTGCCAAGCCAGGCCTTGGAGTCAGCAGGATTTGTGGGGGGTCTGGGAGGTCTAGGAACCTGGGTTTCAGCTCCTCCAGGAGCTCTTTGCCCCATTGCCCTTGGGCCTGGCCAAGGTCCATCTGTGCTCCTTGTCTCAGGATGAATCTTTGTAACTGAGGTTGGTTCCATTTGAGTGTCATCTGAGTTTGATCACCATGGGAGGGGCATGACTGGTGATCATGGTGCCCTGGCTAGGGAGGTCCTGGCTTGACTCAGGGGATGTTTCTCAGCTGGGGTCACTTCTTTCTTGCACATCACTATGCATGCCTACCATAGTGTCTGAGGACGTAGGATCTAGCCCTGGTATGAGGCCCTAGGTCTGTTAGTATCTGGGGAGGAAGGATCTGGTACAGGTATGAGGACCTGGGTCTGTCCATGTCTGAGGAGGTGGGATTTGGCCATAGGGTGGGGCTGCAAGCTGGAATCCCTTATAGCCTGTACTGCCTTTATCCCTCCAGAAAAGCAAGTGTGTATCTAGTCTGTGGTGGCCTCTTTGGACTACATGGCCCTCTTCTCCCTTGGGATCTCCAGAGCCCCCCGAGAGGCTTAGCAGGCCCTCTCCTAGTCACATTATGTCCCAGAAAGCTTTTCCACACCTGTCCCTGCTTTTTTTTTTTTGAACAGATTCTCACTCTGTTTCCCAGGCAGGAGTGCAGTGGCGCGATCTCGGCTCATTGCAACCTCCGCTTCCTGAGTTCAAGCAATTCCTGTGCCTCAGCCTCCCGAGTAGCTGGGATTGCAGGCATGCACCACCTTGCCTGGCTAATTTTTGTATTTTTAGTGGAAACGGGGTTTCACTATGTTGCCCAGGCTGGTTTCGAACTCCTGGCCTCAAGCGATCCACCTGCCTTGGCCTCCCAAAGTGCTGGGATTACAGGCATGAGCCACCATGCCCAACCCTATCCTTGCTTTTGTTTAGTACAAAGCCAGTCCCTGTCCAGCAGCTCTTGAGTTGCTCTGGGCAGGTACAGAAGGCTTCACCAACACCTGGAAGCAAATCCTGTGACTGAAGGAGAGGCCAAGGTTCCCCAAATCCCAGCTGCCTTGGTGAGGGTTGCCATGACCAGGGCCCAGGTGGGTACCCAAAGCCTAGCATTTAGTTGTGGTGACAGCCCTCAAAGGCTGTACTCTTAGCCAGGCATGGTGGCTGATGCCTGCAATCCCAGCACCTTGGGAGGCAGAGGCTGGGGGGAATTGCTTGAGCCCAGGAGTTCAAGACCAGCCTGGGCAACGTAGTGAGGCCCGGTCTCTACAAAAAAAACCCACAAAAACTAACAGTAGCCAGGCATGGTGGTGCGGCACCTATAGTCCCAGCTACTTGGGAGGCTGAGGCAAGAGGCTTGCTTGAGCCCAAGAGGTCGAGGCTTCAGTGAGCAATGATTCTACCACTGTACTCCAGCCTGAGTGACAGAGTGAGACTCTGTCTCTTTGGGAAAAAAAGAAGCTGTGCACTCTGGACCCCAGCCTGCTCTCCCTTAAGAAATGAGCTGATTTTGTGACCGATTTTGTCTTTAGGGAGGTCCTTGCCTGACCTCCAGACCCACCTTTTCCTGGGCATGAGTCCTTCCTGCACAGTGGCTTAAGCAGGAAAGGTTGGGAGGCTGTGTCCTCACTGGTGTGGGGAGGAAGGGGATCGTGCCTGTGGACACGTGTGCAGGTCCACCTCACGGTGTCAGGGCAGGGTGGGTCTGCCTGGAGCATCTGGGCAGGACTTTGGCATGGTGCAGGAAGGAGCAGGATTTGCGTACAGTGTGTGAAGGATCAAGACTTGCAGGAAGAGGGTTGGGTTTTTTTTCTTTCTTTTCCTTTCTTTTCCTTTTTTTTTTTTTTTCTTTTTTTTTGAGTTGGAGTTTTGCTCTTGTTGCCCAGTCTGGAGTGCAGTGGCATGATCTCGGCTCACCACAACCTCCGCCTCCCGGGTTCAAGCGATTCTCCTGCCTCAGCCTCCCAAGCAGCTGGGATTACAGGCATGCGCCATCACACCTGGCTAATTTTGTATTTTTAGTAGAGACAGGGTTTCTCCATGTTAATCAGGCTGGTCTCAAACTTCCAACCTCAGGTGATCCGCCTGCCTTGGCCTCCCAAAGTGCTGGAATTACAGGCTTGAGCCACTGCGCTCAGCCTCTTTCTTTCTTTTTAAATGTTCTTTCATTTTGCCAAGAACTGGGTTTCTGTTCCTTTTCCAGGGCGACATGGAGTCCAATGGGAAATACATCACCAAATCTGGAACCCGTGTGGACCACCAGACAGGCCCCATTGTGTGGGGGGAGCCAGGGACCAATGGCCAGCATGCTTTTTACCAGCTCATCCACCAAGGTAGGCCCCTGTGGCCTGGGAAGGGTGATGTTGGGGGAGGGAAAGGATCTTCCAGAAGAGATATCTCACTTAGGTCAGTGCCCTCCTCTAGGCCATATGGCTAGCTCCCATGGGCTGGGGTCATGTGGGTGACCACAGTGCCCTTCACAGGCACCAAGATGATACCCTGTGACTTCCTCATCCCGGTCCAGACCCAGCACCCCATACGGAAGGGTCTGCATCACAAGGTAAGAGCCCCCATCTGGCCCCATCTGGGGGGTCTGGCTCACATTGCACCCAGACCTCTGAAAACCTGGTGCATTGGTTGGCAATCACGTTAGTTTTCTATTCCTGCCGTAACAAATGATAACAAACATGGAGGCTTAAAACAACACTCTTCTTTTGTGGGGTGGGGAGGGGGGACAGAGTCTTGCTCTGTCGCCCAGGCTGGAGTGCAGTGGCACGATCTTGGCTCACTGCAACCTTCCCCTCCCGGCCTCAAGTGATTCTTATGCCTCAGCCTCCCAAGTAGCTGGGACTACTGGCACTCACCACCATGGCCAGCTAATTTTTGTAGTTTTGGTAAAGGGGGGGTTTCACTATGTTGGCCAGGCTGGTCTTGAACTCATGACCTCAAGTAATCTACCTGCCTCGGCCTCCCTAAGTGCTGGGATTATAGGCATGAGCCACCTTCCTGGGCTATCTGAAGAGTTTCTGAAGCTCAAATATCCAGCAGGCCCTGATGTGTCTCTGCTTAGAGTCTTGCAGGCTGAAATCAAGGTGTCATCAGGACTGTGTTTCTTTCTGGAGACCTTAGGGGAAAAGCCTTTGACCTGCTTGTCAGGTGGTTGGCAGAATTCATTTCTCTATGGTTGTGGAACTGAAGTCCAGCTTCCTTGCTGTGGGCTGAAGGTCGTTCTCAGATTCTCAGAGGTCACCTGCATCCTCTAGCTTGTGGGCCTCTTCACTGCAGAACCAGCAATGGCAGGTTAAATCCTTCTCTGAAGCTTTGATTCTGTCTTGCCACTTCTGTTGCATCTCTCTGACTTGTTTACCTTCCTCTTCTACATTTTGCTTTTGTTCCCTAAGTGACAGTGTCATGCTGTGTTGTCTAGGCTGGACTTACAGTGGCATGATCACAGTTCACTGTATTCTCAACGTCCCAGGCTCAAGCAGTCTTCCTGCCTCGGCCCCTCAAATAGCTGAGACTTACAGGCACTAACAGGCACTTACAGGCACTTACAGGCACTAACAGCCTGGCTAACTGTTAAACTTTTTGTAGAGGCCAGATTTCACTATGTTGCCTAGGCTGGTCTCCAACTCCTGGGCTCAAGTGATTCTCCTGCCTCGGCCTCCCAAAGTTTTGGGATTACAGGCATGAGCTACCGTGCCTGGCCCTCTTTTACTTTTAAGGGCCAGTGTGATTAGATTGGGGCTACTAGATAATCCAGGAAAATCTCCCCTTTTGTTTATTTTATTTATTTATTTTATTTTAGAGATAGCATGTCACTCTGTTGCTGAGGCTGGAGTGCACTGGCCCAATCATAGCTCACTACAGCCTTGAACTCCTGGGCTCAAGCAATCCTTTTATCTCAGCCTCCTGAGTAGCTGGGACCACAGATGTACAACATGCCTGGCTAAGTTTTTTTTTTTTTTTAAAGAGACAGAGTCTTGCTCTGTTGCCCAGGCTGGGGTGCAGTGGCACAATCAGGCTCTCTGCAGCCTCACCCTCCTGGGCTCAAGCAATCCTCCTACCTCAGCCTCCTGAGTAGCTGGGAACAGGCACACGCCACCACACCCAGCTGATTTTTTTATTTTTATTTTTTGTAGAGATGGAGTCTCAGTATGTTGCCCAAGCTGCCCTCGAACTCCTTCAGAGAATTTACTGTGCTTTGTCTCAGGTGTGCAGAGCAGCACAGGGTTACGGTAGCACAATCTTGGGAGTCAGTGAGCTGGATTGAATTCTGATTGTTCCTGTCTATAGTTCTGTGATCCAGCACTGTGGACTTGTGGAACCCAAGGCTCTACTAGAACAGGGCGATGATGCCTTTCCTCCTTAGGATCTTAGTATTATTTTTTTTTCGAGACACCGTTTCACTTTGTTGCCCCGGCTGGAGTGCAGTAGTGCGACCTTGACTCACTGCAACCTCAGCCTCCTGGGTTCAAGTGATTCTCGTGCTTAAGCCTCCGGAGTAGCTGGAATTACAGTTGCACACCACCACGCCCAGCTACCTTCTTAGGATCTTAAAAGATAGATGTTGGTAAAATTGTGAGCAGGACCCCTAGCAAGTGGTGTGTAGTTCTTTTTTTTTTTTTGAGATGGAGTCTAGGTCTGTCGCCCAGGCTGGAGTGCAGTGGCGTGATCTTGGCTCACTGCACCCTCTGCCTCCCAGGTTCAGGTGATTCTCCTGCCTCAGCCTCCTGCCTGATGACAGGCATGCGCCACCATGCCCAGCTAAATTTTTTTTTGGTATTTTTAGTAGAGACGGGTTTCACCATGTTGGTCAGGCTGGTCTCGAGCTCCTGACCTCGTGGTCCATCCGCCTCGGCCTTCCAAAGTGTCGGGATTACAGGCGTGAGCCACCGCGCCTGGCCACTGGTGTGTAGTTCTTAAAGAGCAGTTATCACTGTTCCCTGCCTTGTGGTGTCATCGGATGTGTCCCCCTCGCTCCAACTGAGCTGTACAGCGAGTGACCCAGGCTGGGACTGACCCCTGCTGAGAAGTACCAGGCGGTCTTGTCCCTCTGCCTGAAGCCCAGACAGTGCTCTCAAGCATAACTGATGTCTCGCTCATCAGATCCTCCTGGCCAACTTCTTGGCCCAGACAGAGGCCCTGATGAGGGGAAAATCGACGGAGGAGGCCCGAAAGGAGCTCCAGGCTGCGGGCAAGAGTCCAGAGGACCTTGAGAGGCTGCTGCCACATAAGGTCAGCACTTCTGCATTTGGCTTTGGGGTGCATGCTGGAGTTGGAGGTGTGAAGCTATGGCACCAGGCAGGGGCTTGGGGCATGCCTGGCTTGTCCTACAGAATGGGAGGGCCTGTCCTCACAGACCTGCACGTCTCAGCCTCTGGGGCAGGGTGTGCTTCCCTTCAAGGGGTTTAGGGATCAGGACTCTCTTGGAGACATTCCTTGGTGTTTTCTGCAGGTCTTTGAAGGAAATCGCCCAACCAACTCTATTGTGTTCACCAAGCTCACACCATTCATGCTTGGAGCCTTGGTCGGTGAGTGAGTAGGGGAAAGGTCCTGGCTTGGGGTAGGTTGGAATGGGCTTGTGGAGCCCTGATGTGCCCTGTCTGTCACTTCTGCAGCCATGTATGAGCACAAGATCTTCGTTCAGGGCATCATCTGGGACATCAACAGCTTTGACCAGTGGGGGTGAGTTGCTCACTTAGGGGAGGGCCGGGAATACCTTTGTGTCGGCTCAGGGATTTCAGTAGCAACGTTAGAGCCTTCCTCATACCACTCTTCCCTTCCCTTCCCTTCTTGGCAGAGTGGAGCTGGGAAAGCAGCTGGCTAAGAAAATAGAGCCTGAGCTTGATGGCAGTGCTCAAGTGACCTCTCACGACGCTTCTACCAATGGGCTCATCAACTTCATCAAGCAGCAGCGCGAGGCCAGAGTCCAATAAACTCGTGCTCATCTGCAGCCTCCTCTGTGACTCCCCTTTCTCTTCTCGTCCCTCCTCCCCGGAGCCGGCACTGCATGTTCCTGGACACCACCCAGAGCACCCTCTGGTTGTGGGCTTGGACCACGAGCCCTTAGCAGGGAAGGCTGGTCTCCCCCAGCCTAACCCCCAGCCCCTCCATGTCTATGCTCCCTCTGTGTTAGAATTGGCTGAAGTGTTTTTGTGCAGCTGACTTTTCTGACCCATGTTCACGTTGTTCACATCCCATGTAGAAAAATAAAGATGCCACGGAGGAGGTTGTAGGCTCAGCCTCTGATTTTTTTTTTCCTGTGATGGTGCTTTATGTAGCAGAGGGCAGGAGCGCTCAGCAGGACGCAGGCTGTGCCTCTGCGGACACTTAACACTAAGTGGTGAGCGGGTCTAGAGTGGAGCAAGGTGCCCTGAGAAGACAATAGTGGGGTGGGGGCACAATCAGTCAGGACGGCAACTTGGCCTGTGTCACCAAATCCCAAGACTGTTTTCCACTCCTCACCTCTGTGACTGGAGAAATTGGATACTCTGTTCACTCGATGGTTCTAAAAACTGCATTGAGATTATGTTTGTTTCGGGTGAATTCCTGGACAAGACCGAGGATGACTGCCATCTCCTGGCAAGACGCTCAGGTAGTTCTTTTGCTTTAAAAGGCAGATATTGAAAACTGGAATTTTTTTTTTTTGAGTCTCGCTCTGTCACCCAGACTGGAGTGCAGTGGTGCAATCTCGGCTCACTGCAACCTCCGCCTCCCGGGTTCAAGCTATTCTCCTGCCTCAGCCTCCCGAGTAGCTGGGATTACACGGCGCACACCACCATACCCAGCTAATTTTTGTATTTTTAGTAGTGAAGGGGTTTTACCATGTTGGGCAGGCTGGTCTTGAACTCCTGACCTCAGGTGATCTGCCCGCCTCAGCCTCCCACAGTGCTGGGATTACAGGTATGAGCCACCACGCCCGGCCCATTTTTTTTTTTTTTTTGACAACTTTTTTTTTTTTTTGAGACAGGGTCTTGTTCCATTGCCCAGACTGGAGTGCAGTGGCATGATCACAGCTCACTGCAGCCAGTAATCCTCTTGCCTCAGCCTCCCAAGTAGTTGAGACTACAGGTTGTACCACTATGCCCTGCTAGTTTTTTCATTTTTTGTAGAGAGACGGGTCTTTTTTTTTTTTGAGACGGAGTCTCGCTCTGTCGCCCAAGCTGGAGTGCAGTAGCACGGTCTCAGCTCATTGCAAGCTCCGCCTCCCAGGTTCACGCCATTCTCCTGCCTCAGACTCCTGTGTAGCTGGGAGTACAGGCACCTGCCACCATGCCCAGCTAATTTTTTATATATTTTTTTAGCAGAGACAGTGTCTCACTGTGTTAGTCAGGATGGTCTCGATCTCCTGACCTCGTGATCCGCCCGCCTCAGCCTCCCAAAGTGCTGGGATTACAGGCGTGAGCCACCGCGCCCAGCAAGGCGGGTCTTGCTGTGTTTCCCAGACTAGACTGGTCTTGAATTCCAGGGCTCAAGAGATCTCCCACCTCAGCCTCCCACAGTGCTGGGATTACAGGCGTGAGCCGCCACACCCAGCCTATTCAAAATTTTTTTTTCTTAGAGACAGGGTCTTTGTTGCCCAGGCTGGACTGCAGTGATACAATCATAGCTGACTGAAGCCTCAAATTCCCAGGCTAAGGTGATCTTCTCACCTCAGCCTTCCAAGTAGCTGGGTCCGCAGATGCATGCCAGTACACCCAGCTCATTTAAAAAAAAATTTTTTTCTTTTTTGAGAGTCTTGCTTTGTTGCCCAGGCTGGAGTGCAGTGGTGTGATCTCGGCTCACTGCAAGCTCCACCTCCCGGCTTCACGCCATTCTCCTGCCTCAGCCTCCCGAGTAGCTGGGACTACAGGTGCCCGCCACCACACCCGGCTAATTTTTTGTATTTTTAGTAGAGACGGGGTTTCACCGTGTTAGCCAGGATGGTCTTGATCTCCTGACCTCATGATCCGCCTGCTTTGGCCTCCCAAAGTGCTGGGATTACAGGCGTGAGTCACCGCGCCCGGCTCATTTTAAAATTTTTGTAGATCAGTGTACTGTTGTAAAAAAAAAAAAATAAGAAAAATAAAAAATAAATTTTTGTAGTGATAGGATCCCACTGAGGCCAGAGAATAGGGTCTGGAGACAAAGGAGCATTCACTTCAGCCTCTGACTGGTGGCAGGCCAAGTCTTTATTTACATAGGGTGTAACCAAATAGGAAACCTCTAAAGGGTACTTAAACCCCAGATTTTCTACACAGGGCACTTGCTTGAGCCTCATCCCGCTTTCTGGAATGTACTTTTGCTTCAATAAATCTGTGCTTTTGTTCCTTCTTTTGTTGCTTTGTGTGTTTTGTCCACCTCTTTGTTCAATATTCCAAGAACCTGGACGACTTGTAGTCAAGATCCTCCCCTGGTAATACTACTGTGTTGCCCAGGCTTATCTTCAACTCCTGGGCTTAAGAGATCCTCCTGCCTTGGCCTCCGAAAGTGTTGGGATTACAGGCGCAAGCCACTGTGCCCAGCATCACAGGGCCTTTTAAAGCTATCAGGATGAAGTGTGGTAAAAAAAGGAGTAAATGGGTTTCATCTCCAGATCCTTGCTGGGCTAGAGCCAAACCTCACAAAGGCTGGTGCTTCCTCCTTTGAGGTGTAAATCCTTGAAAACATTCATTTCTTTTGCATACCACGTTATGAATCCTAAAATAATGTTTTTGCAGCCTGCATTTTTAAAAAGTCAGGTTTATTGGGGTGTGATTTACATATAGTAAGATTCACCTTTCTTTGGTATACAGTTATGAGTTTTCACAAGTGTATATACAGTCTTAGAACCATTACAGATGAGATATACAGCATTTTCCTCACCCTCAAAAGTTCCTGACACTTGTGGTCCAGTCCTACTCCCTCATCCCAACTCCTGACTACCATTGAACTGATTTTTTTCCCTCCGAAGTTCTGCGTTTACCAGAATGGCGCCTTTTGTGTCTGGCTTCTTCCCATGATGCTTTTGAAATTCACCCATGTTGTGCTGCAGGAATTGAAAAAACTGTATTGTGTGGCTGGGCGCGGTGGCTCACACCTGTAATACTAACACTTTGGGAGGCCGAGGTGGGCAGATCACTTGATTTCAGGAGCTCGAAACCAGCCTGGCCAACATGGTGAAACCCCGTCTCTACTAAAAATACAAAAAAGGCCGGGCATGGTGGCTCACGCCTGTAATCCCAGCACTTTGGGAGGCCAAGGTGGGCGGATCACCTGAGGTTGGGAGTTCGAGACCAGCCTGACCAACATGGAGAAACCCCATCTCTATTAAAAATACAAAATTAGCCAGGCATGGTGGCACATGCCTGTAATCTCAGCTACTCGGGAGGCTAAGGCAGAAGAATCGCTTGAACCTGGGAGGCAGAGGTTGCAGTGAGCTGGGATCACGCCAGTGCACTCCAGCCTGGGCGACAAGAGCGAAACTCCGTCTAAAAAAAAAAAAAAAAAAAAAGCCGGGCGCCGGGCGTGGTGGTGGGCGTCTGTAACCCCAGCTACTGGGTGGGGCTGAGGCAGGAGAATCACTTGAACCTGGGAGGCTGAGATGCAGTGAGATGGCGCCACTGCACTTCAGCCTGGGCGACCCAGCAAGACTCTGTCTCAAAAACAAAACAAAACAAAACAAAAATAAAAACTGAAAAATCTCAAACATATAAAACCCAAATAGAATAAATCTCCATGTGCCTGGCACCAAATTTCAACAATTATCAACTCATGGTCAATCTTACTGTATTTACACCCCACCACCTTAATTATGTAGTAGCAAATCGGAGGTATTTCATCTATAAGCATTTTGATGTGTTTCTCTAAAAATTAAAAACTTTAACTTTTTAAAAAACTTTATTGTTCTTGTTAATGACTGATAATACCATTATCCCACCTAAAATTTTTATTTTCCGGGAAGGCTTTTTTCTGGTGGCTCACACCTGTAATCGCAACACTTTGGGAGGCGGAGGCGGGAGGATCGCTTGAACCCAGGAGTTCAAGACCAGTGTGGGCAATATAGCAAGTCCTCGTCTCAGGAAAAAAAGGAAAAAAGAAAGTTAGCTTTTTGGCAAAACTACTTCCTAGTAGATGGTGTGTACTTCCTATCACAGCGCATTAAGGGGCACATAATGCCTGGGACTCCGGGATTTCGAGCCCCTGACGCCAGCGGCGCCTCTGTGGCTCTGGGACCTGAGCGCACGCGCCTTAAAGCCACGCCTCCGCATCGGATCCTAGTAAGGGAGCGGGGTTATCATTTTAGCGTAGCGTTGCGCGTGCGCAGAGAGGCCGCCGTAGTTTGCGTTTTCACCTGGTCGCCCGGCGGCCATGGCGGCCGTTCTGAAGCCGGTGCTGCTGGGCCTTCGAGATGCGCCGGTGCACGGCAGCCCCACAGGGCCGGGTGCCTGGACTGCTAGCAAGCTGGGCGGCATTCCGGTGAGGGCGGGTGCCGGAGCTGGGGTCGATGGGTGCTGCTGAAGGGTGCGGAGGGAGTGGGCGAGGTCCTGGGGGGAGTCGGGGTCTGAGCGCCTCCTCTGTCCCCTCAGGATGCTCTGCCCACCGTGGCTGCGCCCAGGCCCGTGTGTCAGCGCTGCGGGCAGCCGCTCGCTCTGGTCGTGCAGGTGTATTGCCCGCTGGAAGGCTCCCCGTTTCACCGTCTGCTGCACGTGTTCGCGTGCGCCTGCCCCGGCTGTAGCACCGGCGGTGCGCGCAGGTAGGCGGGGAAGTCCCAGAGCTGCTCCAGGGGTGTCCTTTCCAGCGGGCTGGGGCGGGCCGGCGGGCTGGAGTCGGGGTGCAGCCCTCACGGCCCTTTGTCTTCACCCCGAAGCTGGAAGGTGTTCCGCTCCCAGTGCCTGCAGGTGCCAGAGAGAGAGGCGCAGGACGCTCAGGTAAAGGTTGTGATTGGCATGTTATTGTTTTTCTGTCATTTGAGGATATTTTCCAGAGAATAGTTTGGGGCAGACTTTAAAGCCGTGTTCTTTGAAGTACACTGGAGTGTTTTTTGCTTTTCTGAAGAACCATAAAATGCTATTTTCGTAAAGTTTTTTTTTTTTTTTTTTTTTTGAGACGGAGTTTCGCTCTGTCGCCCAGGCTGGAGTGCAATGGCGCGATCTCGGCTCACCGCAACCTCCGCCTCCCAGGTTCAAGCGATTCTCCTGCCTCAGCCTCCCTAGTAGCTGGGATTACAGGCATATGCCACCACGCCCGGCTAATTTTGTATTTTTAATAGAGACGGGGTTTCGCCATGGTGGTCAGGCTGGTCTCGAACTGCCGACCTCAGGTGATCCACCCGCCTCGGCCTCCCAAAGTGCTGGGATTACAGGCATGAGCCACCGCGCCCGGCCTTTCTTAAGGTTTTGTGAGAGTTTTTTTTTTCTTCTATTTTACTTTATTTTTATTTTCTAACTCCTTTGTTAAAAGGAGATGGAGGCCCAGCATGGTGGCTCACGCCTGTGATCCCACCGTTTTTTGAGAGGCTGAAGTGGGAGGATTGCTTGAGCTCAGAAGTTGGAGACCAGGCTGGGCGCGGTGGCTTACGCCTGTAATCCCAGCACTTTGGGAGGCCGAGGCGGGCGGATCTCCTGAGGTCAGAAGTTCGAGACCAGCCTGGCCAACATGGCGAAACCCCGTCTCTATTAAAAACAAAAACAAAAAATTAGCCGGGCATGGTGGCAGACACCTGTAATCCCAGCTACAAGGGAGGTTGAGGCAGGAGAATCGCTTGAACCCGGGAGACAGAGATTGCAGTGAGCTGAGATCATGCCACTGCACTCCAGCGTGGGTGACAGACTCCGTAAAAACAAAACAAAACAAAACAAAAGAAAAAAAAAACGTTGGGAGAGCAGTCTGGGCAACATAGCAAAACATCGTCTCTATAAAAAGTAAACAAATTAGCCAGGCATGATGGCCACGCAACTGTAGTGCCAGCTACTCAGGAGGCTGAGGTAGGAGGATTGCTTGAGTCTAGGAGGTTGAGGCTGCAGTGACCTACACTTGTGCCACTGCACTCCGGCCTGGGCCACAAAGCCAGACCCTGTCCCCTGCCAAAAAAACAAAAGGGAGATGGAGACTTCCTCCTGGATTTCTTCAACTTTTTTTTTTAACTGTAAATTGACAGTTTATAATAATGTATAAATTTATGAGGTATAAAGTGATGGCTATGATTCATGAATATCATGTGGAATAATTAAATGAAGCTAGTTAATGCATTCATCACCTCAAATACTTAACATCTTGTGAGAACATTTGAAATTTCCTCTAGCAATTTGGAGATACACAATACTCTTATTTTTTTTTTTTTTTGAGACGGAGTCTTGCTCTGTTGCCCAGGCTGGAGTGCAGTGGCGCCGTCTCTGCTCACTGCAAGCTCCACCTCCTGGGTTCACACCATTCTGCCTCAGCCTCCAGAGTAGCTGGGACCACAGGCGCCCGCCACCACGGCCAGCTAATTTTTTCATTTTTTTAAATTTTTAGTAGAGACAGGGTTTCACCATGTTAGCCAGGATGGTATTGATCTCGTGACCTTGTCATCCACCCACCTCGGCCTCCCAAAGTGCTGGGATTACAGGCTTGAGCCCCTGTGCCCAGCCACAATACTCTATTATTAACTATATTCATGCTGTGCAGTAGAACTTAAAAAAAACCCACATTCCTCCTGAATAACTGAGGTTTTGTATTCTTTGACCGTCATCTCCTTATTCTTCCCGCTCCAGGTTTCTTTCTTCCTTTTTTTTTTTTTTTTTTTTTTGAGACCGAGTTTCGCTCTTATTGCCCATGCTGGAGTGCAATGGCACAATCTCAGCTCACTGCAACCTCCACCTCCCGGATGCAAGCGCTTATCCTGCCTGCCTCAGCCTCCCTAGTAGCTGGGATTACAGGCACTCGCCACCACGCCCAGCTAATTTTTATATTTTTAGTAGAGAAAGGGTTTCACCATGTTGGCCAGGCTGGTCTTGAACTCCTGACCTCAGGCAACCCACCCGCCTCGGCCTCCCAAAGTGCTGGGATTACAGGCGTGAGCCACCATGCCCGGCTCACTCCAGATTTTTTTTTTTCTTTGAGATGGAGTTTCGCTTTGTTGCCAGGCCGGAGTGCAGTAGCACAATCTTGGCTCACTGTAGCCTCCGCCTCCCAGGTTCGAGCAATTCTCCTGCCTCAGCCTCCTGAGTACCTGGGACTACAGGCACACACCACCATGCCCAGCTAATTTTTGTATTTTTAGTAGAGATGGGGTTTCACCGTGTAGCCAGGATGGTGTCGATCTCTTTACCTCGTGATCCACCCGCCTTGGCTTCCTGAGGTGCTGGGATTACAGGCGTGAGCCACCACACCTGGCCACTCCAGATTTCTTTAACCACCACTCTACTCTCTACTTCTTTGAGGTTGTTTTAGATTCCACATATAAGTGAATACATGCAGCATTTGTCTTTGTGTCTGGCTTATTTCCCTTAGCAAAATGTTCTCCAGTTCCATCCATGTTGTCACAAATGACAGAATTTCCTTTTTTTTTTTAAGGGTGAAAAATATTCCATTGTATATATAGTAGTTTTTTTAAACTTACACTGAAGGTCTTGAGACACACAGTTTACTGATTTTCCTGTTTGGGAATATATATGGGTGTGTACATATATGTGGTTGTATGTGATAATGTATACGTGTCTTTATAGTAAATATACTTTATGAGAGCTATATATGTATTAACACATTTCATAAGATGAAATCTGAATTTATTGAAAAGGCAGGCAAGTTGGTAGCTGCAGAACACAATTTAGCCTCCCTTTGACTGTAAATGTGTCTTTATATATACACTGAGTTTGTTTGTTTGTTTGTTTGTTTTTTGAGATGGGGTTGCATTCTGGTCACCCAGGCTGGAGTGCAGTGGCATGATCTCTGCCTCTTGGGCCCAAGCCATTCTCCCACGTCAGCCTCCTGAGTAGATGGGATTACAGGCACGTGCCACCATGCCCAGCTGATTTTCATATTTTTTGTATAGATGGGATTTTGTCATGTTGCCCAGGCTGTTCTTGAACTCCTGGACTCAAACAGTCCGCCCACCTCAACCTCCCAAAATGCTGGGATTACAGGCGTGAGACACTGGGCCCGGCCTGCACCCAGTTCTTGATGTTTGCTAGGCATAGTATTAGCAGTACTTAAATAAAAAGTTGAAGACAGTGGTGTTTGCCTATATTTGTCAGGGTTCAGGTGCAGATAATTAGAAAAGTGCTGTTGCTTTTTCTTTTTTTTTTTGAGACCGAGTGTCGCTCTGTCACCCAGGCTGGAGTGCAGTGGTGTGATCTTGGCTCACTGCAACCTCCGCCTCCCGGGTTCAAGCGATTCTCCTGCCTCAGCCTCCTGAGTAGCTGGATTACGGGCACGTGCCACCATGCCTGGCTTTTAAGCTGAGACAGACTTAACACAGGAGTGAGGTTTTTAGTAAGTGGATAGGCTGAAGGAGGAGGCTCCAGGAATGCCCTCCAGAATCACACCTCAGAACTGGCCGTGAAGGAGCTGCTATGCCACCTCTCCTGCTGTCAGGAAGCTTAGGTGTGATCTGGTGAACTAGAGGCTGTCTTTGCCACCGAACCGTTGGCTCCAAAGCCTTGTTCTGTCTGTGTCTACACAATGGCTACCTTTTGCTATGTGGTCTTTCTTTCTACTTCACTCTGTCTCAAGTTCATGTTTCTCTCTAGTAGACCTGATTAGCAGACCCCTAATCATATCTGAAACCCTAGCTGCTAAGGGGTCTGGGAAAGGTAGTTCTTTCTTTTCAGTTCCTGCAATACATGAAGCACAACAGAAAGATATTGGAACGGATGGTTGAATAACCCCTGTACTATATCTGTCACACTCACCCCAAAAAGGAAAGACAAGTATTTTAAGTCACCTCCAACGTGCTTTTGAGTACATAGGGTCTAGAAAGTTTGATTGGAGTGTACCAGAGGGGAAGGGGATGGTGTGAAGGCTCCCTCTGGAAGGCGCGGCGGTGGGTGGCTGGAGCCGAAGGATTAGAATAAACCTCCCAAATGTGCTCGGACCTCATTCACTGAGTATTTTTCCAGAAACAGGGAAACAGCCTTGCAGCTGAGGACTGGTGTGAAGGTGCTGATGACTGGGGAAGTGATACTGAGGAGGGGCCTTCACCACAGTTTACCTTGGATTTTGGGAATGATGCCAGCAGTGCCAAAGACGTAGACTGGACTGCTCGGCTCCAAGACCTCCGCCTGCAGGATGCTGTCCTGGGTGCTGCCCATCCTGTGCCTCCTGGGCTGCCGCTCTTCCTGCCCTACTACATCTGTGTTGCAGATGAGGATGATTACAGGGACTTTGTCAACCTGGATCATGCCCACAGCCTTCTGAGGGACTATCAGCAGAGAGAAGGCATTGCCATGGATCAGTTGCTTTCCCAAAGGTGAGGATGTGTGCTGCTGAGGTTGAGAGGTGACTGGATTGGGAAGCAGCCACAAGAGTTACCCTTCAGTTTCACCACAGGACCTGGGGAAACTTTCAGGCAGAACTTGTATGTAGGACCTTTTTGCTTCACTTCCTTATCAGCCAACTTGAGTTAGCTTGAAAACCCTGCTCTATTTATAATTGCCGTTAAGAAAGTGAAGATGAACAAACAGAAGTTAGAGATGGCAAGTATTTATAGAAGACGCGTTCACTGACTCTTAAATTTTCTTTTATGTTTCTAATATGTCTTTATAGCAGAGACAGGCAAGTTAGAAAACTACCATTTGATCTGGGATAATAAGATTGGGGTGAAAAAATGGAAAAAGGAAAAGAAAAACGCCATTTGTTTATTGACTCTTGGCTGTGGCTCCAGAACTGGCCCAGGACCTCAGAGATGCTTTCAGATCCTCAATTCTGTAAAATGAGAGTGATGGTGATATCTCTGTTCTCTGTTTCATCCCATGATTTTTTGAGAGTTAAGCGAGAGGGTAGATCTTGAAAGGCTTTATAAACCAAAGCTCTCTAAAGAGGTAAGAATGATCATTTTTGCTTATTGATTGACTGAGAGAGACAGGGTCTCACTCTGTCACCCACGCTGGAGTGAATTGGTGTGATCAAAGCTCATGCAGCCTTGAACTCCTGGGCTCAGGCAATCTATCTTAGTTTCCCAAGTAGCTGGGAGTACAGGTGCACACCACCATGTCTGACCAATTAAAATTTTTTGAGTTTCGCTGTTGTTACCCAGGCTGGAGTGCAATGGCACGATCTCGGCTCACTGCAACCTCCACCTCTCAGGTTTAAGCAGTTCTCCTACCTCAGCCTCCCAAGTAGCTGGGATTATAGCCATGTGCCACCATGCCCAGCTAATTTTTGTATTTTTAGTAGAGATGGGGTTTCACTATGTTGGTCAGGCTGGTCTCGAACTCCTGACCTCAGGTGATCCACCCACCTCAGCCTCCCAAAGTGCTGGGATTACAGGCGTGAGCCATTGTGCCTGGCCTAAAAATTTGTTTTAGCCACTGCACCCAGCATTTTTTACTATTAGAATAAAAAAATTACAATAGAATATTTGGAGAAATGGCCTGGTTCTTTACCAGAACTGTTTCATTTGTAGGCTTTTTCAGAATAATGATGAAGGGGAATGCATGAAGACATGTTGGTGTTTGAAAATAATCCTTAATAGAATTGATGGTTATAAGGACTTTTTATTTTATATTTATTTATTTATTTATTTATTTATTTATTTATTTATTTTTGTGTGTGTGTGATATGGGCTCTCTTGCCAGGCTGGAGTGCAGTGGTGCGATCTCGGCTCACTGCAACCTCCCCTTCCTGGGTTCAAGCAATTTTCTTGCCTCAGCCTCCCAAGTAGCTGGGACTACAGGTGCGCGCCACCACACCCAGCTAATTTTTGTATTATTAGTAGAGACGGGGTTTCACCATGTTGACCAGGATAGTCTCAATCTCTTGACCTCGTGATCCACCTGCCTTGGCCTCCCAAAGTGCCGGGATTACAGGTGTGAGCCACCGCGCCCGGCAGGATTTTTTATTTTTTAATTTCTTAAGTTTTTATGTATTTGCTTATTTTTGGTGGGTTTCTTCAGACTAGAGTATTCTTCTTTTTTTTTTTTTTTTTTTTAGAGATGGGATCTTGCTTTGTTTCCCAGGCTGAACTGCAGTGGTGTGGTGTGGTTATGGCCTTTTTTTTTTTTTTTTTGAGACAGTCTTGCTCTGTTGCCCAGGTTGGAGTGCAGTGGCACGTTCTCGGCTCACTGCAACCTCTCCCTCGCCGGCTTAAGCAGCTCTCATGTCTCAGCCTCCCGAGTAGCTGGGACCATAGGCGTGCGCCACTTCACCCAGCTAATTTTTGTATTTTCTTTTTAGTAGAGATGGGCTTTTGCCATACTGGCCGGGCTCTTCTTGGAGTTCTGGCCCCACGTGATCCGCCCACCTCGACCTCCCAAAGTGCCGGGATTACAGGTATTAGCCACCACGCCCAGCCTGCTCATGGTTTACTGCAGCCTCAAACTCCTGGCCTCAGGGGATCCTCTGGCCTCAGCTTTCCCCATAGCTGGGACTACAGGTGTGTGCCACCAAACTCAGCTAATTAAAAAAATTTTTGGTTTTTTTGAGACAGAGTCTCACTTTGTCACCCAGGCTGGAGTACAGCGGTGTGATAATGGCTCACTGCAACCTCCAGCTCCCAGTTTCAAATGATCCTCCTGCCTCAGCCTCCCAAGTAGCTGGGATTACAGGTACCCGCCACCACACCCGGTTAATTTTTGTATTTTTAGTAGAGATGGGGCTTCACCATGTTGGCCAGGCTGGTCTCAAACTCCTAACCTCAAGTGACCCACTCTCCTTGGCCTCCCAAAGTGCTGGGATTGCAGGCGTGAGCCACCGCACCCAGATGAAAAATACATATATATATATATATATATATAAAATAAATAATAAAATATATATATTAAAAAATATATATGAAAATATATATATTTGAGACAGAATCTCGCTCTGTTGCCAGGCTGGAGTACAGTGGCTCAATCTCAGCTCATTGCAACCTCCACCTCCCAGGTTTAAGCAATTCTCCTCCCTTAGCCTCCTGAATAGCTAGGATTACAAGTGCATACCATCATGCCCAGCTAATTTTTGTATTTTTAGTAGAGACAGGGTTTCACCATGTTGGCCAGGATGGTCTCGATCTTTTGACCTCGTGATCCACCTGCCTCGGCCTTCCAAAGTGTTGAGATTACAGGTGTGAGCCACTGTGCCCTGCGACTTTTTAAATTGTAAATAATTACTCAAGAGTTGAAAATGGCTTGGGAGAAGGGTTGGGCAGGGAACTGCAGAGCTACATGTACACAATTTAAATATCAAAAATATTTACTTGACAGTTTTTGGCTGAGTGCGGTGGCTCACTCCTATAATTCCAGCACTTTGGGAGGCCGAGATGGATCACTTGAGGTCAGGAGTTGGAGACCAGCCTGGCCGACGTGGTGAAACCTTGTCTTTACTAAAAATACAAAAATTAGCTGGACGTGTTGGCGCACACTTGCAATCCCAGCTACTCAGGAGGCTGAGGCAGGAGAATTGCTTGAACCCAGGAGGTGGAGGTTGCAGTGAGCCAAGATTGCACCATTGCACTCCAGCCTGGGTGACAGAGGGAGACTCCCTCTCAAAAAAAAAAAAAAAATTACTTGACAGTTTTACAGTTTTTTAACTTTGACAGTTTTTTTTTTTTTTTCTTTTTGAGACAGGGTCTCACACTGTTATCCAGGCTGTAGTGCAATGGTGTGCTCACGGCTCACCACAGCCTTGCCTCTGGAATAGCCGGGACCACAGGTGCATGCCACCATGCCCAGCTAATTTTTGTATTTTTTTGTAGAGACAAGGTTCTGCCAGATTGCCCAGGATGGTTTTGAACTCCTGAGCTCAAGTGATCCGCCTGCCTCGGCCTCCCAAAGTGCTGGGATTACAGGCGTGAGCCCACTGCACCGGCCTGAGAAATTTTTTTTTGAGACGGAGTTTCACTCTTCTTGCCCAGGCTGGAGTGCAATAGCGCAATCTTGGCTCACTGCAACCTCCATCTCCTGGGTTCAAGTGATTCTCCTGCCTCAGCCTCCCAAGGAGCTGGGATTACAGGCGCCCGCCACCACGCCTGGCTAATTTTTTGTACTTTTATTAGAGATGGGGTTTCAAGATGTTGGCCAGGCTGGTTTCAAGCTCCTGACCTCAGGTGATCTGCTCACCTCGGCCTCCCAAAGTGCTGGGATTAAAGGCGTGATTGATTTTTTTTTTTTTTTTTTTTTGAGATGGAGTCTCATTCTGTCACCAGGCTGGAGTGTAGTGGCATGGCACGATCTCGGCTCACTGCAACTTCCGCTTCCCGGGTTCAAGCGATTTCCTCTGCCTCAGCCTGCTGAGTAGCTGGGACTATAGGCGCAAGCCACCATGCCCAGCCAATTTTTTGCATTTTTTAGTAGAGATGGGGTTTCACCATGTTGGCCAGGATGGTCTCGATCTCCTGACCTTGTGATCTGCCTGCCTCGGCCTCCCAAAGTGCTGAGATTACAGGCGTGAGCCACTGCGCCTGGCCTGATAAAATTTTTTAAAAGAAAATTATCTTGTTTTGTCTTGCAAATGCTGTAATTTTCTGGATATAGACATTCAAAAGTGTTTTCTGCTTCTGTTTTTAGCCTTCCTAATGATGGTGATGAAAAATATGAGAAGACCATAATTAAAAGTGGAGATCAGACGTTTTACAAATTCATGAAGCGAATTGCTGCTTGTCAGGAGCAGATTTTGAGGTAAAAAAAGGCACAGTTCCTTTTATTGTTTTCCTTGATTATAAAGGAATACATATTAGTTTGGAAAACACAGGAAAATATGAGAAAAGCAAAACCTACAGTATTCCCCAAACCAAGAGAGAACCTAATACCTGCTTTATAGGACCTAATACCTACTTTATAGGATGTGTAGGAGGATTCAGTAAGGTAAAGTGCACTCACTTGTCTAACAAATACTTACGAAGTCTATTCTGCATGCCAGTTGCTGGTATTTGTAGGTGCTGCAGATATAGCAAGAAACGGCACAGATGAAGTCCATGTTCTCATAGCCTTTATTATTATTATTATTTAATTTTTTTTTTTCTTTGAGAGGGAGTCGCGCTCTGTCGCCCAGGCTGGAGTGTAGTGGCGTGATCTTGGCTCAATGCAACCTCCACCTCTTGGGTTTAAGCCATTCTCCTGCCTCAGCCTCCCAAGTAGCTGGGATTACAGGTGCCCGCCACCCTGCCCAGCTGATTTTTTTGTATTTTAGTAGAGATGGGGTTTCACCATGTTGGCCAGACTGGTCTCGAACTGCTGGCCTCACGTAATCTGCCCACCTCAGCCTCCCAAAGTTCTGAGATACAAGTGTGAGCCACCATGCCTGGCTTTTTTTTTTTTTTTTTTTTTTTTTTTTGGGGGCAGGGTCTTGCTCTGTTGCTCAGGCTGGAGTGCAGTGGTGTGATCAATCATAGCTCAGTGCACCTTGACCTCCTGGGCTCAAGTGATCCTCCCACTTCAGCCTCCCAAGTAGCTGGGACTACAGGCATGTACCACCATGCCCAACTAATTTTTGTATATTTTTTTAGAAATGGTATTTCACCATGTTGGCCAGGCTGGTTCCAAACTTCTGGGTTCAAGCCATCCACCTGCCTTGGCTTCCCAGAGTTTGTTCTAGGATTACAGGCATGAGCCACTGTGCCTGGACTATTATTATTATTAAAAAAATATTTTTTTAGAGAGAGGGTCTCAGTCTGTTGTCCACCCTGGAGTGCAGTGGCGTGATCATTGCTCACTGTAACAACTACCTCTTGGGCTCAATCGATCCTCCCAAGTAGCTAGAACTACAGGAGTGTGCCACCATGTTTGGCTAATTTTTAAAAAATGTATTTTGTAGAGATGGGATCTGATCATGTTGCCCAGTCTGCTCTCAAACTCCTGGCCTCAAGTGATCCTCCTGCCACGGCCTTCCAAAGTGATGGGATTACCGGCATCAGCCACGACCCTTGGCCCATATATTTATTTTTATTTTTTAATTTATTTTTATTTTTCTGGGATGGAGTCTCGCCCTGCCACCCAGGCTGGAGTGCAGTGACGTGATCCTGGCTCACTGCAATCTCCGCCTCCCAAGTTTAAGAGTCTCCTGCCTCAGCCTCCCGAGTATCTAGGATTACAGCGCCACCACGCCTGACTACTTTTTGTATTTTTAGTGGAGACGGAGTTTTACCATGTTGGTCAGGCTGGTATCGAACTCCTGACTTCAAATGATCTGCCCGCTTCAGCCTCCCAAAGTGCTGGAGTTACAGGCTTGAGCCACTGTGACTAGTGGGGGAGATTAAAAACAAACCTGTATGATTCCCATAAGTGATAAATGAGGAAAAAATAGAGCTATTTTAGGTAGGCTATCAGAAAGGCCTCAGAGGAAATGACATACCCAGCAGGTATAATTTATAAAAATAGCCACATAGTAAAAACAGGTCCAGACAAAGTGGGCAGAATTAGCTCAAATGGTCTTTTTCCCCGATACCTACCACAGTGAATCTAAAAGCTAAAAATCAGGCCAAATAAAATAAATATTAAAAAAGAAATTCCCTTGTATCAGCACTGAACAAAGGAAAAGGGCTTAGTACCATAAAACTCAAAGTGATAGCCCAGGATATAATATCCATAAATGTCTAGTAGAGTTCTTGAGTGTTTAACATATATATTTATTCACTTATGTAACTAAGTTATCTTTGCAGAGAAAGGTACAGAAATTTCCGGCATGGTTAAGTGCAAGTTCTAATTCCACAGGCCTTTTCTCTCACCTGCCTAAAATATACTGATGAGTCCACAAAGAATTTTCTTTTTTCGGAAACGGAATCTGTCTCTGTCCCCCAGGCTGGAGAGCAATGGTACGATCTCAGCTCACTGCAACCTCCATTTTCTGGGTTCAAGCAATTCTCCTGTCTCAGCCTCCTGAGTAGCTGGGACTACAGGCATGTGCCAACATACCCGGCTAATTTTTGTATTTTTATTAGAGATGAGGTTTCACCATGTTGGCCAGGATGGTCTCGAACTCCCGACTTCTGGTGATCCACCCACCTCAGCCTCTGAAAGTGCTGGGATGGCAGGTGTGAGCCACCATGCCCGGCCTAAGAATTTTCAGTTAATAATATTATGTCTGGAAGGAAGCACACAGGAGGAGAGTTTGCATCTCCTAATGTGGAGGATGGTGGACCCAGCTGTTGGCTGAAGAACTGGGTGTGGTGGGGAGGTGGTGTAGGAAAGGACGGGGATTGCCTCTCAGAAGCAACATTCCTTTGTTCCATGAGTCAGAGCAATGATTGGAAAGTTAAGAGCAATTTCGCCTCCATTCGAGTGGGATCTTTCTCAACATACAGCATTTTACACTGTCTCAGAGGAAAAAGCAAAGCCCAGGTATTCTAATAAAGATTGCATCCAGTCCCAGAAGAACTATCTCCTCACCCCAGTTTCCTCTTTTACCACCTACAGAAATGTAGAGGAAATGGACAGTACTCTTAGAGAGAGGAAAACAGGCCTCATATGAGATGGACAGGAAATCAATGAGAACCTCTGCAGACATTTCAGAGCAAATAGATGGTCTTAACTGAGTTGCCCCCTTTAGGTGTGAGCTAGATGAAAAATAGCATGCCACCCAGGTAATCATACTGTGGCAAGAACAGTTAAGGAAATGAAGAGAACATAGAAAAGGCTCAAGAACCAAGTCTGCCAGAAAATATAATCCAGCTGGACTCGGTGGCTCACGCCAGTAATCCCAACACTTTGGGAGGCCGAGGCGGGTGGATCACGAGGTCAGTAGATCGAGACCATTCCAGCCAACATGGTGAAACCCTGTCTCTACTAAAAATACAAAAATTAGCCGGGCGTGGTGGTGGGTGCCTATAGTCCCAGCTGTTCAGGAGACTAAGGCAGGAGAATCGCTTGAACCTGGGAGGTGGAGGTTGCAATCAGCCGAGATCGTGCCACTGCACTCCAGCCTGGGTGACAGAGTGAGACTCTGTCTCAAAAAATAAAATAAAATAAAATATAATCCAAGGAGCACATCAGTCCCAGCAGATGCTTCAAAATGTATAAGAACTTCATAAGAATGGATTCCATAAAACAAGAGCTCAAAGGTGAGAAAATAAAGTAACTATGTATGAATCGGAAATTGAATTGCTAAAGAAACCAAGCCCCATGACATTACATATCTAATACATATAGAATATAAGGAACACTGGCCGGGTGTGGTGGCTTAAGCCTGTAATCCCAGCACTTTGGGAGGCCAAGGCAGGCAGATCACAAAGTCAGGAGTTCCAGATCAGCCTGGCCAATATGGTGAAACCCTGTCTCTACTAAAAATACAAAAATTAGCTGGGTGTGGTGGCGGGTGCCTGTAGTCCCAGCTATTCGGGAGGCTGAGGCAGAAGAATTGCTTGAACCTGGCAGGCGGAGGTTGCAGTCGACCGAGACTGCGCCATTGCACTCCAGCCTGGGCGAGAGAGCAAGGCTTTGTCTCAAAAAAAAAAAGAAAAAAAAAGTTAAGGAACATAATAGACTTGGCTAAAGATCAAAGTACTGGTATAGAGGAAAGACTTGAGCTAATCCAGTGAATGCAGAAGAAAAAGAGAAAGCATTCAGAGAGAAGATGGTATCTTTGAAGGGTTGATAAATATATTTACTATGAGGAGAATTGGTGTCCAAAATAGAGAACGCAATAGATGGATCAGAAACTATTCAAAGATAAAATTGGGAATTTTTCCTTAATGAAATAAGAACTAAATATGCAAATACTAAAATACAGGGAGTATAAGAATAGTTGACATTGAGAAACCTAGCCTGGTGGTGGTTTTAAAAATATCGTCAGTCTTTTAAATGTAGCCATTCTAGTAGGTGGTGGTGGTGGTATTTCCTTGTGGTTTGAATTTGCATTTTCCTAATAACAAATGATGTTGTGCATCTTTCCATATACTCATTTGACATCTGTGTATCTTCTGTAGTGAAGTGTGTCTGTTTACATTTATTTTTCAGCAGCTTTATTGAGATACAATTGACATACAACAGACTGCGTATATTTTTACAGTGTGCACTTTGATAAGTTGACATCCATATACACCCCTGAAATCACAACAGTCAAGACAGTAAACATATTCCTCTCTGCCAGGAGTTTCCTCATACTTCTTCGCAAGTTCTTGCCTACCCTGTCCTGTGCTGCTCCCCTAGTCCCCAGGCAACCGCCAATCATCTTTCTGTTGCACCTTAGTGCATTTCCTGTGAAAGTATATAAGGTCATATGGGATATACTTTTTTTTTTTGGTCTGGTTTTATTCACTTAGAATACTTCAAGATTCATTCTTATTGCATGTATCAATAGTTCATTCCTTTTGACCGCTGTGTCGTATTCCATTGTATGGATGTGCCACTATACATTTACCAGTTGATGGATATTTGGGTTATTTCCAGTGTTTGGCTATTATAAATAAAGCTGCTGTGAACATTTGTTTACATCTCTTTGTAAGACATGTTCTGATTTTGGGGGGGTAGATACCTAGGAATAGAACGGTTGTATTATATGGGATATGCATGTTTAACTTGTTAAGAAACAGGCCAGTTTTCCAAAGTGGTTATGCCATTTCTATTCCCACTAGCAGTTTTTAAGAATTCTACTTCCTGTATATCTTTGCTAATGCTTGGGATGTTCAGTTTTTAATTTTAGCCATTTAAGAAGGTGTGTAGTGGCATTTTATTGTGGCTTTAATTTGCATTTCCCCAAATGGCAAATGATGTTGAGCATCATTTCAAGTGCTTGTTTTCCATCTCTGTATATCATCTTGGATAATGTGTCATTCAAATCTCTCACCATATTGTTTGTGTTACTGAGTTGTAGGAATTCTTCATATGGTCAAGAGTACAAGTCCTTTTTCAATTTAATTTTTTTTAGCACTCAAACAGATTCTGACAGATGGCTTTAAATTTTGATCAAGTTCAACTTAACAGTTATGGTTTTTTTAACACGGAATATGCAGTCCCTTTAATGTAATCATTGGTATTGTTGGGTTAATTGTTTTTTGTTTTTTGTTTTTTTTTTCTTGAGACGGAGTCTTGCTCTGTTGCCCAGGCTGGAGTGCAGTGGCACGATCTTGGCTCACTGCAACCTCTGCCTCCCAGGTTCAACGATTCTCCTGCCTCAGCCTCCTGAGTAGCTGGGATTACTGGTGCGCACCACCATGCCTGGCTAATTTTTTGTAGTAGAGACAGGTTTCGCTATGTTGGCCAGGCTGGTATCAAACTTTTGACCTCAGGTGACCCGCCTGCCTTGGCCTCCCAAAATGCTGGGATTACAGGCATGAGCCACCGCACCCCACCATGTTGGGTTAATTTTATTCTGTTATTGTTTTTTCCTCCATTTCCTTTTTTTTTTTTTTAAAGAGATGGGTGTCTCACTATGTGGCCTAGGCTGGTCTTGAACTCCTGGACTCAAGCAGTTCCCTCACCTCAGCCTCTCAGCTTCTCAAAGTGCTAGGGTTATAGGCATCTGTCACCACACCTGACTTTCCATTTGGTGGGGTTTTTTTGTTTTTGTCTCTGTATTCCTTTTATTTAACCTGCTTGTCAGTGACTTTGAGTATTTTTAGTTTACTATTTTGTTCCTTTTTTGTCTTTTATTTTTAACTCTTTATGTTGCTTTTTTTTTTTTTTTTTTTTTAAGAGATTGGGTCTTGTTCTGTTGCTTGCGTAGGCTGGAATGCAGTGGTGCAGTCATGGCTCACCGCAGCCTCAGACTCCTGAGCTCAAGTGATCCTCCTGCCACACTCTCCAAAGTAGCTGGGACCACAGGCGTGCACCACTATGTCTGGCTAATTTTTGTATTATTACACTATGTCTGGCTAATTTTTGTATTATTATTATTATTCGAGACAGAGTCTTGCTCTATCATCCAGGCTGGAGTGCAGTGGAGCAATCTCAGTTCACTGCAACCTCTGCCTCCCAGGTTTAAGCGATTCTGCAGCCGCGGCCTCAGCCTCCCCCACAGCTGGGATTACAGGCACCTGCCACTACGCCCGGCTAATTTTTGTAGTTTTAGTGGAGATGGGGTTTCACCATGTTGGCCAAGCTGATCTCGAACTCCTGTCCTCGAGTGATTCACCCGCCTCAGCCTCCCAAAGTGCTGAGATTACAGGCCTGAGCCACGGTACCCGGCCTACCTTGTCCACTAGGTTTTTTTTTTGGTTTTTTTTTTTTACATATTCATTACTGGTATTTTAAAGTTTTTGTCTGATAAATTTATCATCTTGTCCATGGGTCTCCTTGCATTAACTTTCTTTATGGGGTAAATTTTCCTGCTTCTTTGCATGTTTAGTAACTTTTAAAATGATTTACCAGAAATTACATATCGAACAACAGTAATATTGAAGTGAGCTGGATGTGGTGGCTCACACCTGTAATCACAGCACTTTGGGAGGCTGAGGTGGGAGGATCACTTGAGGCCAGGAGTTTGAGACCAGTCTGGGCATTATAGCAAGACCCTGTCTCTACAAATTTTTTTTTTAAAAACTAGCTGGGTATGGTGATGCGCCTCTGTGTTCCCAGCTACTCAGGAGGCTGAGGTAAGAGGATTGCTTGAGCCCAGGGGGTCAAGGCTGCAGTGAGCTGTGATTGTGCCACTGCACTCCAGCCTGGGCAACAGAAAAAGGCTTTATCTAAAAAAAAAAAAAAAAAACCCAAAAACTGAAGTGAATGTTTCCTCCCTCTAAGGCAGAGGTCCCCAACCTTTTTGGCATCAGGGACTGGTTCATGGAAGGCAATTTTTTCACAGACTGAGGTGGGGGATGTGGGGCATGGTTTTGGGATGAAACTGTTCACCTCAGATCATAAGGCTTTAGATTCTCAGAAGGAGCACACAACCTAGATCCCTTGCATGTGCAGTTCACAATAGGATTTGCGCTCCTATGAGAATCTAATGCTGCTGATACGACGGGAGGTGGAGATCAGGTGGTAATGCTCGCTTGGCTGTTGCTCACCTCCTGCTGCATGGCCCTATTCCTAATAGGCTACCAACCAGTACTGGTCCATGGCCTGGGGGTCCATGGCCTGGGGGTTGGGGACTTCTTCTCTAAGGCATGCCCTTTCCTCTGTAAGGCCAGTGATGTGGAGGGCTGATTCCATTTAATCTGCAGTGGAGCTGAGTCTGGACTTTGTTGCAGCTTTACCTAGATTCAGTTGAACATTGACTTTAGTGCCTTTGAGACTTTGAATCGAACACTGACAAGATTTCCAGATATCTTGCTATGCTTTACAGCCATGGTGCTAGGTTTTTGGGCCTCTGGGAGATTTCTGCAAGAAACAAAGAAAGGTTGCAAAGCATGGCCTTAGATGCTAGAATGCGACTTGTGTGGCTCTGATTCGGGGTTCTTTGTTTCCTTGTCCTAGGTATTCCTGGAGTGGAGAGCCACTCTTTTTGACCTGCCCTACATCAGAAGTCACCGAGCTCCCAGCCTGCAGCCAGTGTGGAGGCCAAAGGATATTTGAGTTTCAGCTTATGCCAGCACTGGTCAGCATGCTCAAGAGTGCTAATTTAGGTGAGAAGCCCTTTATTAATTTGAGTTTGTGGATTTCTGGCATTATTTTTAAATAAATGAAAAACCTTTTGTTTACTTATAAAATATCATAAGCAAATTACAGAAAATTTGGGAATTAAAAAATTATTTTAAGAAATTTAGGCCAGGTGTGGTGGCTCATGCCTGTAATCCCAGCACTTTGGGAGGCCAAGGCGGGTGGATCACAAGGTCAGGAGATCGAGGCCATCCTGGCCAATGTGGTGAAACCCTGTCTCTACTATAATATAAAAAATTAGCTGGGCGTGGTGGCACGTGCCTGTAGTCCCAGCTCCTTGGGAGGTTGAGGCAGGGAATCGCTTGAACCCAGGAGGTAGAGGTTGCAGTGAGCCAAGATCGCACCACTCTACTCCAGCCTGGCGACAGAGTGAGGAGACTCTGTCTCAAAAAAAAAAAAAGAAATTTATAATCCAGCCAGTCTTTTTTTTTTTTTTTTAATATTTATTGATTGATTTATTTATTGAGATGGAGTCTCTCTCTGTCGCCCAGGCTGGAGTGCAGTGGCACGTTCTTGGCTCACTGCAACCTCCAGCTCCCGGGGTCTAGCAATTCCCCTCCCTCAGCCTCCCTAGTAGCTGGGATTACAGGTGCCCGCCACCACGCCCGGCTAGTTTTTGTATTTTTAGTAGTGATAGGGTTTCACTGTGTTGGCCAGGATGGAATTTTTGTATTTTTTGTAGAGACAAGGTTGCGTCATGTTGCCCAGGCTGGTCTCGAACTCCTAGACTCAAGCGATCCTCCCGCCTTGGCCTCCCAAAGTGATTACAAGCATGAACCATGCCTGGCCAGAAATTAAAACTATTATCAATGTTAATAACCATTATTCCAACAATCATTTTTGACATAAAGACAAATAGCAAGTCAGATGAATGTATGGATGGCTAGACGAAAATAATTTTCCTAAAATAGGAAAATTCACTAATATGGTAATTAAAAGTCTTAGAACAAATTTTTGTACAAATTAACAGAAGGAATGTTAAGTATAAGTGAAGCAGTTACTGGATTTTTTTTTTTTTCCTTCTTTTTTCTTGAGACGGAGTCTTGCTCTGTCGCCCAGGCTGGAGTGCAGTGGCATAATCTCAGCTCACTGCAAGCTCCGCCTCCCGGGTTCATGCCATTCTCCTGCCTCAGCCTCCCAAGGAGCTGGGACTACAGGCGCCCGCAACCAAGCCCAGCTAATTTTTTTTTGTATTTTTAGTAGAGACGGGGTTTCACTGTGTTAGCCAGGATGGTGTTGATCTCCTGACCTTGTGATCCGCCCACCTCAGCCTCCCAAAGTGCTGGGATTACAGGCGTGAGCTGCCACGCCTGGCCTGGACTTTTGGTAATAGGTTCTTTACCTAAGAGGCCCAAGTTTCTGAAAGGTGCTTCTGCTATTAACAGAAAATAACATTCTTTCTGTGTTTCAGTTTTAGATAGTATGCATCTGGCTCCTTACCATAGTAGATAAGGAAATTTATACCCTATTCCTACCTTGAAATATTTCAGTATCTTTTTTGTTTTTTGAGACGGAGTTTCACCCAGGTTGGAGTGCAATGGTGCTATCTCGGCTCACTGCAACCTCTGCCTCCCAGGTTCAAGTGATTCTCCTGCCTCAGCCTCCTGAGTAGCTGGGATTACAGGTGCCCACCACCACACCCAGCTAATTTTTTATATTTTTGGTAGAAACAGGTTTCACTGTTGTTGGCCAGGCTGGTCTCAAACTCCTGACCTCAAGCTCCCGACCTGCCTCGGCATCCCAAAGTGCTTGGATTATAGGCATGAGCCACCGTGCCTGGACCCAGTATCTTTTTTTTTTTTTTTTTTTTTGAGATGGAGCCTCACTCTGTCGCCCAGCCTGGAGTACAGTGGCACTATCTCGGCTCATTGCAACCTCTGCCTCCCAGGTTCAAGCGATTCTCCTGCCTCAGCCTCTTGAGTAGCTGGGATTACAGGCGCCCACCACCACGCCCTGCTAATGTTGTATTTTTAATAGAGACGGGGTTTCGCCATGTTGGCTGGTCTTGAACTCCTGACCTCAAGTGATCCGTCCACCTCGACCTCCCAAAGTGCTGGGATTTACAGGCATGAGCCACCGCGCCTGGCCAGTATCATAATTATCACAGCTATTTGGATAGCCTTAGTTCTATGTGTAAATGGATTCAGTGTTTATCACCACTCTTAGAGTGAGCTTTTTTATTCCTGTTTTATTTTGATTCTTTTTGCAGTAGCTGGATTTTCTCAAGTAATAGCTTTAAGGAGGGCTCAGAGGTATCTTGCTTCAGATTGTGCATGGTAATGTGGCTTCATATTTGAGGGGCAACCCATGTATAAAATTTTTAAATCCCACTTTCTCTTTTCAGAACCTTGTATAGACCCCTGTGTTGTCTTCTGACAGTGAAAGCCCTGCCAGCCCTTTGCCCTGGTGCCTCCTGTCATTTCTTGGTGGTTCAGTCTCACTGGGAAATATATTTTTCTGGAAGGGCTTATGGGCATTCTAGTCTCTGAGATTTTTCACTCATATAGAAATGTCTTTTGCATGGAATGTAGCTTTGTAGAGGTATGAGGGTGGTCTGATTTTTTCCCCCTTTGTGACTAACATTTTTGCCACAATACTGTTAGCAGCGGTGAATCTGTAGGGGTCTGTAGCAACCTCAGTTCTTGCCTCCTCCGAAGAAAGAATTTGACCGAGGCACATAAGACAGAGGAGAGACCGAAGCAAATTTTAGAGCAGGAGTGAAAACTTACTAAAAAGTTTTAGAGCAAGAACGAAAGGAAGTAAATATAGTTGGAAGAGGGCCAAGCAGGCAACCTGAGAGATTCAAGTGTCCATTTGACCTTTGACTTGGGGTTTTATACTTCCTGGGTCTTGGGTTACTTCTCTTGTTTCTTCCCTTGGGGTGGGCTGTCCACATGCATAGTGGCCCTCCAGCACTTGGGAGAGGCCGCATGCGCAGTGTGTTTACTGGAGTTGTAGACTTGCTCACTTGAGGCGCTTTTCCCTTACCAGTCAGATGCTCCTAGAGGAATGTCATATACCAGTTAAACTCTGCCATTTTTTCATTTTTTTTTTTTTTTTTGAGACAGAGTCTCACTCTGTTGCCCAGGCTGGAGTGCAGTGGCACAATCTCTTCTCACTGCAACCTGTGCCTCCCAGGTTCAAGCAATTCTCCTGCCTCAGCCTCCCAAGTAGCTGGGATTACAGGTGCCTACCACCACGCCCAGCTAATTTTTTGTATTGTTAGTAGAGACGGGGTTTCACCATGTTGGCCAGGCTGGTCTTGAACTCCTGACCTCAGGTGATCCATATACCACAGCCTCCCAATGTGCTGGGATTACAAGCATGAGCCAATGTGCTGTGCCCAGCCAATGCATACATTTTTAAACAATGTATTTCTCCTTTGCTGCTGCAAATCATTGCCTACGTCATCCTCTTGACTCCTGCTTTTCTGTTCTAATATCAGGAGTTCTTATTGCTTATGTTTTCTTGGTATCTTTTTTTAATGGCTTTATTCATTGATAATTTTCTGTAAACTCTTAGGGTTTATTTTATATTTTTTGCCTGAATCCTTATCCTTTCTCGGCAGTAGTGTGTCCTATGATATATATTTCTCTCTTCTTTTTTTTTTTTTTTTTAAGACAGGGTCTCGCTCTATCACCCGGGCCAGAGTACGGTGGTGCAATCATAGCTTATTGCAGCCTTTATCTCCTGGGCTCAAGTGATCCTTCTGCCTTAGTCTCCTCTGAGTAGCTGGGACTACAGGTGTGCACCGTTACACCCAGTGAATTTTTTTTTTTTTAGTAAAGTCTCACTGTGTTGCCCAGGCTATATGAGATATATATATATTTTGTTTGTTTGTTTGTTTGTTTTGTTTTTTGTAGAGACAGGTGTCTCACTATGTTGCCTAGGCTGGGCTCAAGCTGTCCTTCCCCGTCGGCCTCCCAAAGTGCAGGGATCACAGTTGTGAGCCACCGCACCTAGCCAAAAGCTATGTATATCACATGAACCATGTAGATTAATATAGATTTTCAACATCAGATAGCTAGACAGTTATAATGAACACTTGCTGAAATTTTTGTTTATTTTTAAAGTATATTTTCCTGCCACTTTAAATTAATTTTGCTTTTTTGTTATCAATATTCACTTATTATAGGATAGACTGTGATTCTGTTATAGCTGAAAGCAGTAAGCACTGTTTTTGCTTTACCTAATTACTTTTTCAGCTTATAAGGTAAAATCATTCCTTTTAGTAACATCAGTCTCATAACTCTTTTTGCTGGAAGCCTGAATATGTGGTATTTTTCAGGTCTTTCTGTGGAATTTGGAACAATTCTAGTTTACACATGTGAGAAGAGTTGCTGGCCCCCAAATCATCAGACTCCCATGGAAGAATTTTGTATTATACAAGAAGACCCAGATGAATTATTGTTTAAGTAGAGCATTTCCTTTTATTAATATAAATTAAAACAAATGTTTACATCCAAATATGTTTGTATGTACCTTATTTTAACTCACAAGTTATTAACCTCTGTTTTTCTGAGTTGCCTTTTTGCCTTTGGGTGCTGGTGCCGGGGCCGGGGCCGGGCCAGGACCTCCTGACTGTGGGTTGGTCTGCCCTTCCAGGGTCCAGGGCCAGCTGTCACAGTGGCAGCTAGGAAGGTAGCTCCTCTCTAGTCCAGAGGGCTGGTGTTGTCTGCACAGCCGTTCTGGTGGGCATTCTAGGGGGGAGGAGAGCAGCGAAAGAGCCAAGAGCAGTGGTCAGCCTCTTGTGTACACCTCTGACACGTGCACTCCAGTGCTTCCTATGCTGTTTCTGGCACCTGATCAAGCCACTGAACCTGCTCTAGCTGCTGGAGGTTTTTGCTCTGTGACCCTGGCTGTTTAGACCTGCCCATGTTCATCAGCCCAGGTCCCCGCCCTCACCCACTCCCATCTTCTGCTCCTGCAGTATCCCAGGAAGGGGTCTTTACTCCGTTCTGGAGACTGTCCCTTTATCCAGCTGCCTTCCAGTCTTCCCCTTTCTTTATTTTTAACATGATCAACCCCTTCCCTTCAGCCCCATAACAGCAGTATAAAAACACTCCCAGCCATGTTCAGACATGCTCTGCCTACGTAGATGAGGATAATGAGGCCTAGGTGATCATGGGGTGGGCTTGTTTCTTGCATTTAACATTATATTTGGAGCATTTTCCCATTAATATTTTTCCCACAACATAATTTATAATTGCTCTATTTTTTAAATATACATCAAAAGCTTTATACAATTTTTAGCCACTTGTATTTTCCAATTTTTATTCCCATGATGGCCATCCCTGTAACTAAATTTATATATATTTTAAATCAATGATAACTGCTACAGGACAGTTTCCTAGAATTGGAATGAATGAGTCAAAAGTTGTGCACAATTTTAGGGTTTTTTTTTCTTTTTTTTCGAGACAGGGTCTTGCTCTGTCTCTCAGGCTGGAGTGCAGTGGTAAGGGCATAGCTCACTGCAGCCTCGACCTCTCAGGCTTAAGTGATCCTCCTGCCTCAGCCTCCTGAGTAGCTGGGACTACAGGTGCAAGCCACCACGCCCTCTAGAGAAGCTTTGCTTTGGAATCTTTACCTGGAGTGTGTTGGAGTGCTTGTTTCCCAATCCCTTGATAAGTGTTACTTATTTTTTCTTTCTACCAGTTTAGTAGGTGAAAAACTTTTTTTTTTTTTTGAGACAGAGTCTCGCTGTATTGCTCAGGCTGGAGTGCAGTGGTGCAACCTCCGCCTCCTGGGTTCAAGCAATTCTCCTGCCTCAGCCTCCTGAGTAGCTGGGGCTACAGGCTTGTGCCACCACCCCCAGCTGTTTCGGTGTTTTTTTTTGTTTGTTTGTTTGTTTGTTTTTTTGAGACGGAGTCTGTTGCCCAGGCTGGAGTGCAGTGGCGCGATCTCGGCTCACTGCAACCTCTGCCTCCTGGGTTCAAACGATTCTCCTGCCTCAGCCTCCCGAGTAGCTGGGATTACAGGCGCACGCCACCACGCCCGGCTAATTTTTGTATTTTTAGTAGAGATGGGGGTTTCACCATGTTAGTCAGGCTGGTTTCAGAACTCCTGACCTCGTGATCCACCCGCCTCGGCCTCCCAAAGTGCTGGGATTACAGGCGTAAGCCACCGCGCCCGGCAGGTGAAAATCTTACCATTTTGCATGGTTTACATTTTTTTCTTTTTTGAGACGGAGTCTTGCTCTGTTACCCAGCCTGGAGTGAAGTGGTGCGATCTTGGTTCACTGCAACCTCCACCTCCAGGGTTCAAGCGATTCTTTTATGGTTTACATTTTAATACGCTTATTGATCATATTGTCCAATTTTTTGTGAGTTTCCTGTTCACATCCTTTGCCTATATTTTTTTGGGGGTGACACTTGTTAATTTGTAAGAGCTCTTTACGTATAGGGACATCAGTTTTCTAACCTGTAAGGAAGTCTTGGCTGGGAGTTGAAACCCCAGGCTAGAAGGCGACCCTTAGACTTTTTAGGTCTGATGGCGGGCCTATGCTGGTGTGGGAATAACACCGCCGGTCTCAGCTGGAGGTCGCCAGCCCTTTGCAAGAGCCTGCCGGTCCCCGCGGGCTGCAGCACACCCCGGCGCGATGTGCCCTGCCTGTGTCTGCCGGAGGCTGTAGTGCGCAGGAGCGGAAACCAGGCCGCCCTTCCCCCACCCGCTTCCGGCCGCGGCTCGGTTCTCCCGCCTCCGCCTCCGCCGCGGCTCGTGGTTGTCCCGCCATGGCACTGTCGCGGGGGCTGCCCCGGGAGCTGGCTGAGGCGGTGGCCGGGGGCCGGGTGCTGGTGGTGGGGGCGGGCGGCATCGGCTGCGAGCTCCTCAAGAATCTCGTGCTCACCGGTTTCTCCCACATCGACCTGGTGAGGGCCGGGCGCGCGCGCGTGAATGGCGGGCTGTGGTGCGGGGGCTGGGATTCGGGGGTTCCGGGGCTCCAGGGGCTCTGAGGCTCAGGGCCCGGAGCCCGGGACCGGAGTTGCGGAGCGGGGGCAGGCTGAGAGGCTCGGGTTGTGCCCCCCCCGCGGGAGGAGACTGTTCTTTGGGCACGGGGCGGGCCTCCGCTCGCTGGGCCGGCTCCGGACGCCGAGGAGGCCGCGGGCCCCCGCCTCCCCGGCAGCGCCAATGTGTGGCGCTTCGTGGGCGTGAAGCCGCCTCTTATCCTCCCTTCAAAACAAATTCCCGGCTGTTAGGAGATGCGGGAGAGGATTGAGTCCCTCGCGGATGTTGTGACTTTAATTTTGAGGTCCCTGTCGTAACTCCGAAGTAACGACGCGGGGCGGAGGATGGCAATGATAGCGACCAACGCGTCCCGAGCGCTGGTCACGAGCGGGTTTACACACGGAACGCGCACCATCTTCATACCACCCGAGGAGTGCAAACGCTATTTCCACCCTGCTTTATTTTTAACAGATGAGGAAAGGGAGACGCAATGGGGTTGAGTAACTTACCCTGGGTCACGGAGCGAGTGGCAGGGCTCCCGCAGGCTGCGTGACTGTCATTGCTCTCACAGTAGACGGTACACTCGCTTGTTTCATTAAAGACGTTAGGACTGTGCCTTTTGCATTGGTGTACGTTGACAAGCCAGTGCTATTTTGAATCGTTATTTCTACTAATGCAAACTTTTTAGAGATTGGAGATGTTACTGGCCCTTCGGTGTGAGTTTAAAGTGTCTTAAGGGCTAGTGGAAACATGGAATGAACAAAAAAGTACGGGTGGCCGACTGAGTCATTGTTTCTTTCCTTTATGTATTATATATTTAAGCAAAAATTAGATAAAACTTAAAACATGATACTTTTTTAACCATGTGTAAAAGTTTCCTTTCACAGTTCTCAGGTTAATAGTAAATGAAATTGTGTATGGATGAAGGCTTGAATTAAGGGAGGCAGCAAAAATTCAATAAACGTTTGCCATGTATCATTTAAGAAAAAGAACAGAACCTGGGCAACATAGAGAAACCCCGTCTCTACAAAAAAAGAAAATTAGCGGGGCGTGGTGGTGTGCGCCTGTGGTCCCAGCTACCCGGGAGGCTGTGTCAGGAGGATCGCTTGAGCCTGGGAGGTCGAGGCTGCAGTGAGCTGTGTTTGCACCACTGCACTCCAGCCTGGGCAACAGAGGGAGACCCTGTCTCAAAAAACAAAGAAAAAGAACAGGGCATAGTTAAATTTAATATTTTGTACTTGAAAGAGTAATTCGATTGAAAGAGAAATACTTTAGTATTTTTTGAGACAGGGTCTGGCCCTGTCACCCTGGCTAGAGTGCAGTGGCCCGATCTCGGCTCACTGCAACCTCCGCCTCCCAGGCTCCAGTGATCCTCCACCTCAGCCTCCCGAGTAGCTGTGACTACAGGCATGTGCCACCTAATTTTATTTTTTCTATTTCTTGTAGCCACCAGGGTCTCACTATTTTGCTTAGGCTGGTCTTGAAGGTCTGGGCTCAAGCGATTCTCTCACTTTGTCCTCCCAAAGTGTTGGGATTACAGGTATGAGCCACCACTCCCGGTGTAGAGAAATATGTTAATATATTTTCAGTTAGTGTTTACCTCGACAGCACATATAGTTTTAATGAATTCACATATTTTTATGGCATCCAGGGAGTTTCCTGAAATATTTTCCAGGATGATTAAACAAACAAAATATACCATTCTTTCAAAGTATTTTTGAGAAGTTTATCTCTGACATTAAATCTAGATTCTTACATGCATTAAATTATTCTTTATCAGTTTAACAATTTTGGTATGGCGATTCGAAAAACGCTTTCTCCACTAATGTAGCAGATATCAAAAGTTCTGGATTACAGGTGCTGAGAGTAGTGATACAGCTCAAACATACGTAAACGTTTGTCATTTATCTGGGGTTTATGCATTTGTAGATTGATCTGGATACTATTGATGTAAGCAACCTCAACAGACAGTTTTTGTTTCAAAAGAAACATGTTGGAAGATCAAAGGCACAGGTAACTATATTTCTCATACCATTTCTATAACTTGATGGAGCTTCTATTTGTGATACCAGATTAATCCTGCCTGTCATATAGGAGGGAAAAAATGGGTGAAGCTCTCATTTCAGCTGAGAGATTGTGAAGGATAAAGATATATCAAGTAAAGGACTAAAGATTAAGCCCTCCTTTTTTGTTCTAAAAAGGAAATAATCCCGTGATGGTGTAACTTTCATGGCCTCTTTATATTTAAGTTTCTGATGCTTTGCTTAGGATGCACCTTGTGTTCCTACACCCCCTAGAGGTTGACTACTGCTATGTTTGGGGGCTAGAGGAGCGTTATGCTGCTGTCCTAGTTGAAACAAGACAGTTCCCCCGATCTTTGTTTAGTTTTTTTAGTGTTCCTTGGTGATTCAGAGTCTTAAAACATCTTTTCCCTTTGCCTGTCTCCCAACCTGTTTGGCAAACCCCCACTTGTTTCTCTTTTTCTTTCATATTTTGGCTTCCTCCTCCAGGAGTACTTTCCTAAACCTTTTAGACTAAGTCAGGTTGGTTTTTCTCTCATAACAACCTTTACTTTACTTTTCCTATCATTTTCTTTTCTTTTTTTTTTTTTTTTTTTTTTTTAGAGATAGGGTCTCACTCTGTCGCCCCAGGCTGGAGTGGAGTGATGCGGTCATGGCTTACTGCAGCCTAGAACTCCTGGCCTCAAGGGATCCTCCTACACTGGCCTCCCAAGTGCTGGGATTACAGGCATGAGCCACCATGCCTGGCCTTTTCCTGTCATTCTCATGGCATTTATCAGAGTCTGTAGTTGAACTTAATCTGGATTGTTATTTGATTAATGTCTCTCTTGCTTGACATGTACGTTGTATAGTTCCTGGTACATGCAAGATGCTCAGTAAATACTTGTTAAGTGAATGAATGAATGACACTTGGTTACTTCATGTTGTATTTTTGCTGAAGCTTGCCATTCATGTAGAAGTGTGTTTGGTGGTACGTGGGTCAGGGGGGGCTCTCCGGTTATTTTATAAGTATAAAAGTATAATTTTATAAGTGTAGCTTAACCCTAATGCAATTTTCTCACATTTTTGGACTTCTTTGGTGTTTAATATAAATAAGGTACTATGTAAGTAGATAACAGCATTGTGGCTTCCAGAAGCAGATTTCAGATAGGAACAGAAATATTGTAGTAATTCAGTGTTGTTTATTTTTCCAGGTTGCCAAGGAAAGTGTACTGCAGTTTTACCCGAAAGCTAATATCGTTGCCTACCATGACAGCATCATGAAGTATGCTATAGTGATTACATTGCAAAGTTGTATAAGGGTTTTGTAAGCCAAATATATAAGCTCAAAGTCATTCAGCTTTTTTAAAAAAAATGATTTTTCTAGAATTATTAAACAGTGGTGGTTTCTGCTTACAGAGTGGCATTCTTTTTACCAGTTCATAAATACATGGTTTGAATGATTTAGAATGGTGAGATAGTTTAATACTTTTAATAAATAAGTTACTTGGAAATTTATAAAGACCTTATATGCTTGCCTTAAGTAAGAAGATATTTTAAACTATGAAATATCCTTATTTATGATGATTCAGACTTTTCTAAAGTGTTTGCCTTTTTTTGTTTAAAAGTTTCCCTCCCAAAATAATCTGTAGTATGACTCTGACTTCTGTAATATAACACTTGGAATTGTGGTAGGGCAGTAGTATTGACAGTACATAAATATATTTATCTCAGTAAAGATAGAGTAAATATATAATTTTGGAGGAGTTGGAGCAAAGGAACTGTGGGCCGAAATTGTCCTTTATCTATGGTGGTTTAGCTTGCAAGTAAATAGTGTTAAAAATAGTCCTTGTTTGAGGTACTGGAATTGAGGTACTTAACACTTTCTCAGGGCATTTGTATCTCCGGATTGTGTTTTTTTTGTGTGTGAGATAGGGTTTTGCGCTTATTGCCCAGGCTGGAGTACAGTGGCATGATCTTGGCTCACTGCAACCTCCGCCTCCTGGGTTCAAGCGATTCTCCTGTCTCAGCCTCCTGAGTAGTTGGGATTACAGGCGCACGCCACCACACTCAGCTAATTTTTGTATTTTAGTAGGCGGGGTTTCATCATGTTGGCCAGGCTGGTCTCAAACTCCCGACCTCAGGTGATCCACCCGCCTTGGCCTCCCAAAGTGCAGGGATTACAGGCGTGAGCCACTGCACCCGGCCTGTATCTCCGGCTTGTTTTTTAGTTTTTTACTCTGTGAACCTGCCTGTAGCCCTATAACCTCCTTACCCTGTGTTGCTTTCCCAGTGCTGCTAAAAACAGAGACCCTAGGGGCCTGAACCCTGCCTGATCCTGATCATGTGAGGTGAAGTCAGAGGCCAGGCAGATCCTGGGAATGTGTTCTTTATGCGTTCCCAGGCACTTGCTGCCCAAAGAAGGCCTAGTGGGACTAGTGAAGTCATGCCATCTTTCTGCCAGTTTGAGATCTTTCTCTTGTGCCCTAGCTGGCCAAAAAGGATAGGAATTTGAAGGAAATAATTTCTTTAAAATCTGCTTATGTTTGGAAAGAGTCAAACCTTACTATCTATATGACATATAATCCTGATATCAGTTTTGTTTACAGTTACTATGTTTTTTTCAGAACTGTTTATTATACTGCAAAGATCATGTGGAAGGCTAGTTATTTTGGTGACCTTTTTTTATTTTGTTTTGTAGCCCTGACTATAATGTGGAATTTTTCCGACAGTTTATACTGGTTATGAATGCTTTAGATAACAGAGGTGAGGTTATTTTAATACTTTTAATTTCTCAGTATTTCCTCTCTCCCATATCAAATTTGTTTACAAATTTAATATTTATTAGACTATTGTGATTTAGAACTTAAAAGACTTAAGAGAAATGATCGAGTTTAAAGCATGCCCATTGATTGCAGTTTTATATAGAAATGACTTATTCCAGGCGGGAATTTAGCTATCATATTCTCTGCATTTCTACCAAAAGGTATAAATAGAAGTGAAGTGAAAAGCTCTCAAAAAGTGTGACTGTGGCTCAGCACAGTGGCTCACGCCTGTAATCCCAGCACTTTGAGAGACCAAGGCAGGAGGATCACTTGAGGTCAGGAGTTCGAGACCAACCTAGTCAACATGGTGAAACCGTCTCTACCAAAAAACACAAAAATTAGCCGGTGTGGTGGCATGTGCCTGTAGTCCCAGCTTCTCCGGAGGCTGAGGTGGGAGAATCGCTTGAAGCCAGGAGGCAGAGGTTGCAGTGAGCCTAGATCACACCACTACACTCCAGCCTTGGTGACAGAGTGCGACCCTGTCTCAAAAAAAGAAAAAGTGTGACTGGAGGGTGGGGTGGGGGATGCTTGAGTGATATTCTTTGTCTGTAATTACTTCCACATGTAAAAGTATATCTACTAAGTGAGTTTACAACAAGTTGGGCCAGAAATATCTAAATAAAAAACACAAGGAAAAGTCAAAATTACGTTTATTTTTTAAGGCTTGGGGGGTCTCACTGTTGCCCAGACTAGAGTGCACTGGTGTGATCATAACTCACTGAAGCCTTCAAATGGGCTCAGGTGATACTCTTACCTCAACCTCTGCAGTAGCTACTCTGCAGACAGGTACCACCATACCCGGCTAATTTTTTTATGTTTATTTTTGTAGGGATGAAGTCTTGCTTTGTTGCCCAGGCTGGCCTCGAACTCCTGGCTTCAAGCAGTCCTCCCACCTCAGCCTCCCAGAATGCTGAGATTATGGGCATGAGCCAGTGCTCCTGGCGTGAAATTACTCTCTTAACCTGACTCATCTTTTTTCCCTAGCCTTAAACTACTTTAATAGTTCCAAGTTGATATTCCACATTCTGCCTTCATTTCTATCATGTATTATCTGCTAGTTATATTAGAATAGTGGTGAGTTTAGGAACACCTTGAAACAGTGTTTTGTGTAAGGTACAGCAATAGAAGAGAAATATGGCACGTTGGATTTTTAAGATTATGTGTTTCTGTGGGTACTTCTCCTGGAGTAAATTTGTGATATAAATTCTATTTGATATTTTGCTAAGTGAATGTCTCTTAAATGTCTGTAATTAACAGTTGTATTATTCTGGCCATAGCTATAAGAAAATTGTACAAAAAATGAAGCCAGTAAGATAGTTTTGAGTCTGTGTCATCCTAATTAAAGATAACTAATTTTTTTTTTCCCAAAAACTCATACTGTTTGTTTTACTTCCAGCTGCCCGAAACCATGTTAATAGAATGTGCCTGGCAGCTGATGTTCCTCTTATTGAAAGTGGAACAGCTGGGTATCTTGGACAAGTAACTACTATCAAAAAGGTAAAGAAAAGTTTTATTTTTTTAACTTCCCAAATATTTATTTGAGACCTTGGAGCAGGAGGAAATAAACTTTGTATTTATATAAAATGAACAGGTGAACATCCAAAATGTAAGGACTTTTATGCTTATATAAAACTTAAAATGCGGGGCCAGGTGCAGTGGCTCATACCTGTAATCCCAGCACTTCGGGAGGCCGAGGTGGGCGGATCACCTGAGGTCAGGAGTTTGAGACCAGCCTGGCAAGCATGGTGAAACCCCATCTCTACTAAAAATACAAAAATTAGCTGGACATGGTGGCCGGCGCCTGTAATCCCAGCTACTTGGGAGGCTGAGCCAGGCGAATCACTTGAACCTGAGAGGCAGAGGTTGCAGTAAGCTGAGATTGCACCACTGCCCTCCAGCCTGGGCTACAGATCAAGCCTCTGTCTCAAAAAACAAACTTAAAATGCTATAAACGTGCTCAAAAGACTATGGGCAAGGAAATCTTTCAGCTCTGCCATTTTGTTTCATTTGACTTTTGTATTAAAATCCTTAGAGTGGTAAGCATGATATACCAGGCATCAAAAATTTCTTTGTGTCGGCTGCGTGCAGTGGCTCATGCCTGTAATCCCAGCACTTTGGGAGGCTGAGGTAGGCAGATGACTTGAGGTCAGGAGTTCGAGACCAGCCTCTCCAATGTAGTGAAACCACGTCTCTACAAAAAATACAAAAATTAGCTGGGTGTGGAGGCGTGTACCTGTAATCCCAGCTAGTTGGGAGACTGAAGCATGAGAATTGCTTGAACCTCGGAGGTGGAGGTTACAGTGAGCCAAGATGGCACCACACTCCAGCCTGGGCAACAGAGTGAGACTCCATCTCAAAAAAAAAAAGCCAGGCGTGATGGCTCATGCCTGTAATCCCAGCACTTTTTGGGAACCCGAAGCGAGCGGATCACCTGAGGTCAGGATTTTGAGACCAGCCTGTCCAACATGGTGAAACCCTGTCTCTACTAAAAATACAAAAATCAGCGGGCGTGGTGGTGTGCACCTGTAATCCCAGCTACTTGGGAGGCTGAGGCAGGAGAATCCCTTGAACCGGGGAAGCGGAGGTTGCGGTGAGCTGAGATCACGCCATTGCACTCCAGCCTGGGCAACGAGCGAAACTCTGTCTCAAAAAAAAAAAAACCAAAAAATTCTGTTGTCTAAGAGTCTGGGCTTATAATGTGGAAGGGAACTTTGAAAACTTTTTAGGGGTGTATTTGTGAAGTACTTCAAACATTTAAATACAACTAGAGAATAATAGAACAAAATACCTGTGTGCTCATACCTCAGTTTTGTTTTGGTTTATTTATTTATTTGTTTATTTTTTTGAGACAGAATTTCGCTCTTGTTGCCCAGGCTGCAGTGCAGTGGCGCGATCTCAGCTCGCCGCAACCTCCGTCTCCCTGGTTCAAGCGATTCTCCTGCCTCAGTCTCCCGAGTAGCTGGGATTACAGGCGTGCGCCACCACGCCTGGCTAATTTTGTATTTTTAGTAGAGACGGGGTTTCTCTATGTTGGTCAGGCTGGTCTTCAACTCCTGACCTCAGGTGATCCACCTGCCTCGGCCTCCCAAAGTGCTGGGATTATAGGTGTGAGCCGCCATGCCTGGCACATATCTCAGTTTTTAAAACCTCAACACGGCTTCATTTGCTATTCAGATATTTTTTCTTTCAGTTCTTTTAAGAAGTTAAATATTGTAGTTACATTTGAAGAGTCGTTTTCCATGTTTTGAAACTATAGAAAGAGAATTATAATGTACTTAACATTTGCTGGTTGCGTCTAATTTTTTTTGGCAGCTTATTCATGTTAGAAATTGTGTCTTTGTTTCTTTTAACTGTTAAATGTTATTCTTGGAACCTTATTGAATACCATTCTACAAAAGACTGTTGTGTATGTCAGTGCGTATTAAGTTGTTGAATAAGTGGAGGCCTTCAGTATCTGTTGACAGATCAAGACGGAAGTTCTCTGTCTGCATTGCAGTATGAGTCTCATGACTGCTTGCCATGTGGCTACCCTCAAGAAAGCATATTGGAAGGCTGAGGGCATCAGAAATGGTGTTTCAGAGAAAACTCTAAATCTGCTGCAATTTATATTAAAACAGTATTTGAGAGTTTTGATTCTTGAACAATTAGCCTGGCTAATTTTTGCATTTTTGGTAGAGATGAGGTTTTGCCATGTTAGCCAGGCTGGTCTCAAACTCCTGACCTCAGGTGATCCGCCTGCCTTGGCCTCCCAAAGTGCTGGGATTACAGGTATGAGCCACCACGCCCGGCCAGACATTGCTTTTTATATCCTTGTTACTGTGATTCTGACACACCACTGTGTATTAAGACTGAAGGTGGCTGGGCATGGTGGCTTACGCCTGTAATCCCAGCACTTTGGGAGGCCAAGGCGGGCGGATCACCTGAGGTAAGGAGTTCGAGACCAGCCTGGCCAACATGGTGAAACCCCATCTCTACTAAAAATACAAAATTTAGCTGGGTGTGGTGGCACGCACCTGTAATCCCAGCTACTTGGGAGGCTGAGGCAAAAGAATCACTTGAACCCGGGAGGCAGAGGTTGTGGTGAGCCTAGATCACGCCATTGCACTCCAACCTGGGCAACGAGCGAAATTCCGTCTCAGACAAAAAGAAAAAAAGAAGAGACTGAGGTTAGGAATATCTGAGATAATGAAAGATGATTCATTTGATAGTTTTGAAAAGTTGTCTCAGGTGTCATGTACTTCTTCCAAGGCATAAATTCCTTAAATTGTAATTTTAAACTTGAATGTGTATCAATAAAATGGGCTGGGCGCAGTGGCTCACGCCTGTAATCCCAGCACTTTTGGGAAGCCAAGGCGGGCGAATCACATGAAGTCAGGAGTTCAAGACCAAGCTGGCCAACATGGAAAAACCCCGTCTCTACTAAAAATATGAAAATTAGCTGGGAGTGGTGGGAGATGCCTGTAATCCCAGCTCTTTGGGAGCCTGAGGCAGGAGAATTGCTTGAACCTGGGAGGCGGAGATTGCAGCCAAGATTATGCCACTGTACTCCAGCCAGGGTGACAGAGCAAGACTCCGTCTCCCCACCGCCAAAAAGAAACGTATATCAATAAAATGAAGAGTATTTGGTTTAGTAACACCTAAGATTTTTCTGTGTAGGGAGATATATCTTGAAATTAATCTTGTAGTTTACTTAATTTCAGGAGATTATAAGGATATGGCTGTATTCCCCAGACCCACTTAGTTTTGCTCAAAAAAAAAAAAAAAACACATATAAGAAAATGGCTGCGAATAATATTTAGATAACATTTACAACTTTGAGAAATAATTTCTTGGAAAGCTGCTGTTTGTCTTTCCAGTAGTTTTTCTGTTTAGTGTGATCAAGGTAAACTCATATTTGACACTCAGGTGTAGTAATTTTTATTTGGGCTTGTAAGTCATGTTCACTGAACCAGGAGTCGGCGTCCTGGCACAGCCTTAGCTATGACTGGTAGATTCAGTTAGCTTTTGTGTTAGTTTATCATAAAGTAAGCATTTTGGAGTCACTAATATTTTAAAATTTCCTTGACAACGTAAAACGTAGTTGGAATATAGATGAATGAAGTGTTTATATTACCTTATAATGTTGAGAAACTGCCATCATGGAGTAAATTTTTCTCATATCCTGACTTCATAGGGTGTGACCGAGTGTTATGAGTGTCATCCTAAGCCGACCCAGAGAACCTTTCCTGGCTGTACAATTCGTAACACACCTTCAGAACCTATACATTGCATCGTTTGGGCAAAGTACTTGTTCAAGTAAGAGTGTATATTTCTTGGCATGCTTTTCGGTACTGATGATGGAAAATGGAGTCATTTTTATTTAATTACCTTGAAGAGATTGAACTCAGGATGTTTAAATATGGTGAAGGGATGCTTTAGTAGCTTTCTTGCAGTATTTCTTAGGTTAAATGTAGCTGGCCGGGTGCGGTGGCTCACACCTGTAATCCCGGCACTTTGGGAAACTGAGGTGGTCGGATCACCTGAGCGCAGGAGTTTGAGACCAGCGTGGCCAGCATGGTGAAACACATCTCTACTAAAAATACAAAAATTAGTTGGCCGTGATGGCGAGTGCCTGTAATCCCAGCTACTCGGGAGGCTGAGGCAAGAGAATTGCTTGAACCCAGGAGGTGGAGGTTGGAGTGAGCCGAGATCGCGCCACTGCACTCCAGCTTGGCAACAGAGTGAGAATTTGTCTCAAAAAAAAAAAAAAAAAATGTGGCCATGACTGTTCAGGAAACTTAGTCTTATATTGGAGACAGCCATGTAACTAAGCGATAAAAATCTTTATATTTGGAAATGTGAACATTTACTTACAAATAACCCATTGGTTATAAAAGAAATCACAATGGAAGTTAAAAATACTCTGTACTGATAATGATGAAAATGCTATACCAGAATGTATTGAATGTGGTGGTTGGCAAAAAGTTACAGATTTACATACATGAAGAAAGGCTGAACATTAATTACTAAATCTTTACTAAGAATCCAATTTAAGTTAGAAAATGAACCACAGAATACACTTTAAGAAATGAGAATGGTGTGGGCATGGTGGCTCATGCCTCTAATCCCAGCACTGTGGGAGGGTGAGATGGGAGGATCCCTTGAGCCCAGGAGTTTGAGACCAGCCTGGGAAACATGGCAAAACCGTGTCTCTACAAAAAATAGAAAAATGAGCCAGGTGTACCTGTACTCCCAGCTACTTGGGAGGCCGAGGTAGGAGGATCAGTTGAGCCTGGGAGGTTGAGGCTGCAGTGAACCGAGATAGTGCCACTGCACTCCAGCCTGGGTGATAGTGAGATCCTGTCTTAAAATGAAGAAAGAAAGAAAAAAAGAATGAGAAGGAAGGATATTAATTGAAGTAAGAGCACATTTGATTACAAAATAGAAGAGGAGTAAGTGAGAACTAAACGGGGAATACAGATAGCAGAGATTAAATAGGCTATAAGAAAAAAAAGGGATGATAATAAGACCATGGTAGTACATAAAAAATTTAAATGATCTGGGTAAATACATTTTTAAAAACTTACTAAGTGCCCAGTGCGGTGGCTCAGGCCTGCAATCCCAGCACTTTGGGAGGCTGAGGTGGGTGGGTCACTTGAGGCCAGGAGTTTGAGAACAGCCTGGCCAACATGGCGAAACCCCGTCTCTACTATAAATACAAAAATTAACCAGGCGTGGTGGTGGGCATCTGTAGTCCCAGCTACTTGGGAGACTGAGCCATGAGAATCACTTGAACCCAGTGGGTGGAGATTGGGCCACTGCACTCCAGCCTGGGGGACAGCATGAGATGATGTTTCAAAAAAAAAAAAAAAATGAAAGGAAAATAGAATGCCTGAATTTAGCAGTATACCTTAGAGCAATGTAAGTAGTTTAAATTATTCTAAATAATGCACCGAACCTATGTTATTTTTACAGATTCATTTCACAAAACTTGCAAGGAGTATATTGTAATATTAGCTAAACTCTCCCTGAGAAATTTTTAAAAGGGAATACTACTTAGCTTGTGTTATTAGGCTAGCAATGTCTTTGATAGCAAAACCTGTCAAGGCCATTATGGCATAAGAAACAATTGCTAGTCAGTCTCACACCTAAATAATAGATGCAAAAATCCTATGTAAAATATTAGCATATCCTGGGAATGGGCGCAGTGTATCATGCCTGTAATCTCAGCACTTGGAAGCTGAAGCGGGTGGATCACCTGAGGTCAGGAGTTCAAGACCAACTTGGCCAATATGGCGAAATCCTGTCTCTATTAAAAATACAAAATTAGCCGGACATGGTGGTGGGCGCCTATAATCCCAGCTACTTGGGAGGCTGAGGCAGGAGAATTGCTTGAACCCGGGAGGTGGAGGCTGCAGTGAGCCGAGATCGCTCTGCTGCGCTCCAGCCTGGGCAACAGAGCAAGACTCCATCTCAAAAAAAAAAAAAAAAAAATTACCATATGGATCTAGAATCATATAAAATAAAAAGTGTGTCTTGACCACGTGTCTATTCAGGAATACAAGCATGGTTTAAACTAGAAAATCTGTAAATGTCATTCACTCATTAGGAAATTAAAGATAAACTATATAGTTTTCATAGATACAGAGAAAGCATTTGGTAAAATTTAGCAAATGGCCTTTCATGATGAAAGTTTCTACTAAAACAGAATAAAAACTTACTAGGCCGGGCGAGGTGGCTCACGCCTGTAATCCCAGCACTTTGGGAGGCTGAGGCGAGCGGATCACGAGGTCAGGAGATCGAGACCATCCTGGCTAACACGGTGAAACCCCATCTCTACTACAAATAAAAAAAATTAGCCGGATGTGGTGGTGGGTGCCTGTAGTCCCAGCTGCTCAGGAGGCTGAGGCAGGAGAATGGCGTGAACCCGGGAGGCGGAGGTTGCAGTGAGCTGAGATTGCACCACTGCACTCCAGCCTGGGCGACAGAGCGATACTCCGTCTCAAAAAAATAAAAAATAAATAAATAGATAAAATTAAAAATAAAAAAACTTCTTACTAAAATGAGAATGTTCTCAACCCGATAAAGGGTATTTTGTAGAAACCTTCAGCAAACATTGTCTTTAATTTTTGCACTCAGAAAAGTATACATAACAGTGTCAACTTGATAAATGTTCACAAAAACTACACTTGGAAGCTTTATTTATTTGGCAAACATTTTTTTTCTTTGGGAGGCTGAGGTGGGTGAATCACTTGAGGCCAGGAGTTTGAGAACTGCCTGGGCAACATGGCGAAACCCTGTCTCTACTAAAAATACAAAAATTAGTGGGGTGTGGTGGCACACGCCTGTAGTCCCACCTACTCGGGAGGCTGAGCCATGAGAGCCGCTTGAACCTGGGAGGCGGAGGTTGAAGTGAATGGAGATCATGCTACTGCACTCCAACCTGGGGGACAGAGCGAGACTGTGTCTCAGAAAAAGACAAAAAAAAAAAAAAGATAATGTGGCCAGGTGCAGTGACACACACCTGTAATCCCGGCTCTTTAGGAGGCCAAGGCAGGAGGATTGCTTGAGCCCAGCAGTTTGAGAGCAGTGTGGGCAACATAGTGAAACCCCATCACTACAAAAAATTTAAAAATTAGCAAGGCATGGTGGCACATGCCTGTGGTCCCAGCTACTTGGGAGGCTGAGGTGAGAGGATCACTTGAGCCTAGGAGGTCGAGGCTGCAGTGAGCTGTGATCACACCACTGCACACTAGCCTTGGGGACAGTAAGACCCTGTCACACACACAAAAAAGATAATCTGGCAAAATTAATATGAGCAGCATTTTTCACTCGAAGGGAAACCTAAATAAGCAATAAGCAAGTTATGTTTTAATCATAAGACTTACTTGGAAAATTAAGTATAAGACCATAGTAAGCTACAGATGCTTCTCAGATACTTCCCGATAAACTCATCATAAATAAAAAATACCATTAAGTAAAAAATGATGCTTTTTTTGTTGTTGTTTTTTTGAGATGGAGTTTCGCTCTTGTTGCCCAGGCTGGAGTGCAGTGCAACTGCAATCTCTGCCTCCTGGGTTCAAGCGATTCTCCTGCTCAGCCTCTCGAGTGGCTGGGATTACAGGCGTCTGCCACCACGCCCAGCTAATATTTGTATTTTAGTAGATACAGGGTTTCACCTTGTTGGCCAGGCTGGTCTCAAACTCCTGACTTCGGTTGATCCACCCGCCTCGGCCTCCCAAAGTGTTGGGATTACACATGTGAGCCACCACGCCCAGCCAAAAATGCATTTTAATATAACCTCAATAAACCTGTTGTAAAGGTGAAAAATCATTGGTGGACCATTTTAAATTAGCGGCTGTCTACTATTTTGCACTCACTAGTTGGCAAAGCGTTAATTTTAGGAAGTGTTAACATGCCATTGTTGGGAGTGACTATCAGAGCTTTGAAATTATAGTTGGGTGGGGGGTTGTACAAAGGATTTCTGTAAGATAACTTTCATTAATCATATACTTGAGGAAATACTGGAAACTTTTATATCCATGAGTTATTAAACAGTTTTTAGGATAACTTTATTAATAAAAGAGAATCTCAGCTTAATACTTTCAAATTGTTTGTTAACACTCTGTTCAGCAGTAAAGAGCCATTCTACCATGAAAAAAAGTTAATCTTGTTCATTGCTGAATTTCTATCCCCTAGATGGGGACTCTGCACCTGAGGTATATAATAATGTTTGTTGAACAGGTAGCTGCAGGTGTAAACACAAACATTATTCTGGTGTTAGAATGTTATCCAGGTTGTAAGTGAAAACCACTCACCTGTTTCTTGAGCAGAGGTTTTAACATTGAAATGTGCAGAGCCTCGCTGATAGGAATGGATGTAGGTCTGCTAAAATTTAACCTTGCTTACATTGCTGTTGAAATTGGGATGCAAGCTGTCCAAGCACATTGTGTTAAACTTTTAAGTTTATAGTCATTTATCCGTTATTCACTTTTTTTTTTTTTTTTTTGAGACGGAGTCTTGCTCTGTTGCCCAGGCCGGAGTGCAGTTGTGCAGTCTCGGCTCACTGCAACCTCCATCTCCTGGGTTCAAGCGATTCTCCTGCCTCAGCTTCCCGAGTAGCTGGGATTACAGGCGTGCGCTACCACGCCTGGCTAATTTTTATATTTTTGGTAGAGACGAGGTTTCACCATGTTGGTCAGGCTGGTCTCGAACTCCTGACTTTGTGATCTGCCTGCCTCAGCCTCCCAAAATGTTGGGATTAAAGGTGTGAGCCACTGCGCCCAGCCAGTTGTTCAGTCTTTATCTCTGCTAAATATTTGGAATATTCTAAATTACATGTTTGTTTAGAATGCTTTGTTATACAGAAGTATTTACTATTCTTAAATTATAGCCAGTTGTTTGGGGAAGAAGATGCTGATCAAGAAGTATCTCCTGACAGAGCTGACCCTGAAGCTGCCTGTGAGTAAATTATTTGGCATATGTTTTATCAGATACTATTATCTTTATTTTGTTGATTTAATTTTGGTAGCTTAAGGGAAAAAAATTGCTATATGTGCTAGGTAATGTGTGTTTAACATGTGTTTTTTTTTTGTTTTTTTTTTTTTTTTTTTTTTTTGTCTCAGAGGTGGAGTTTCTCTCTTATTGCCCAGGCTGGAGTACAATGGTATAATCTCGGCTCACTGCAACCTCCGCCTTCTGGGTTCAAATGATTCTCCTGCCTCAGGCTCCTGAGTAGCTGGGATTACAGGCACCTGCCACCGCGCCCAGCTAATTTTTGTATATTTAGTAGAGACAGGGTTTCACCATGTTAGCCAGGCTGGTCTCGAACTCTTGACCTGAGGTGATCCACCCGCCTTGGCCTCCCAAAGTGCTGGGACAGGCGTAAGCAACCGTGCCTATCCAAAACAATGTTTTACAAAAAAAATATGATTCCGTTTTACTGATGAGGAAATCAAGGTTAAGAGAAATTTCACAAGTCTAGTAAATAGAGCTGCGAGTTGTTCCTAGATCTCATGACTGGTCTGTGCTTTGAACTGTTATATGTGTAGCTTTCAGAAACTAAGTTACAACAGGCCAGGCAAGGTGGCTCACGCCCGTAGTCCCAGCATTTTGGGAGGCTGAAGCAGCTGGATTGCATGAGGTCAGGAGTTTGAGACCAGCCTGGCCAACATGGCAAAACCCTGTCTCTACAAAAAATATAAAAATTAGCCAGGCATGGTGGTGCATACCTGTAGTCCCAACTACTTGTGAGGTTGAGACGGGAAGATGGCTTGAGCCCAAGAGGTAGAAGCTACAGTGAGCCGAGATCTTAACACTGCACTCCAGCCTGGGCAACAGAGTGAGACTTTGTCTCCAAAAACAAGAAAGAAAGAAACTGGGATACAAAAAGATGCTGATGAATGTGTTATTTTCTTATTCCTTGAACTCAGAATGTGTTGCATTTGGGGATTTCCATGAGTGACTTTCTTTTTATTCCCAAAGGTGAGTGAAAAGAGTTCAGTTCTACATTTATTACGGTTGAAAATAAAATAATGATCGTTTTATAGGGGAACCAACGGAAGCCGAAGCCAGAGCTAGAGCATCTAATGAAGATGGTGACATTAAACGTATTTCTACTAAGGAATGGGCTAAATCAACTGGATATGATCCAGTTAAACTTTTTACCAAGGTTAGATTTACTTTTTTTATAATCATGGATAGATGTATTGTTGTGCATAGATGTATTGTTCTAGTTCTGCTTGTTTTAAAATAGTCCATAAAATTGAATTAAGCTTCTATGTATATGCCTTGTGATGTCCTAATAAAATGATTGATGCAGTCAGGATATGCAAGTTTTAAAATGTTACCATCTACACTAAATCTATCAGTATAACATCTAAATAGGAGGTAAAATGAGAGGTGGCTTGTATACCTTCTTGGTTGTCTTTCCTTCTCTCACTTTTTACAGAACTTCTTCGTTTTCCTGCTGCTTCTCATCTTCACTTTTTTTTTTTTTTTTTTTTTGAGATGGAGTCTCACTCTTGTCGCCCAGGCTGGAGTGCAGTGGCACGATCTCGGCTCACTGCAGCCCCGCCTCCTGGGTTCAAGTGATTCTCCTGCCTCAGCCTTCCGAGTAGCTGGGATTACAGGTGTGTACCATCAGGCCTGGCTAATTTTGTATTTTTAGTAGAAGCGGGGTCTCACCATGTTGGCCAGGTAGGTCATGAACTCCTGACTGCAAGTGATCTGCCCACCTTGGCTTCCCAAAGTGATGGGATTATAGGCGTGAGCCACTGCTCCTGGCTTCATGTTCACTTTTATTTCTTGCTCATATCTGCTATTAGCAGTTTGACTGACATGTGTCCTAAATTGCCCTTGAACCCCATAAGCCCCTTTTTCTTGGTGAAATCCCTCTTCATCAGTAGTATATACTATTTGCCTGTTAAATATTTCTAGAGAAATCTGTGAAATTGTTTTTATTGGGTCTACCTAATTATTGTTCATCTAGACCCGTAGGTCCGTGTTTTAAAAGTTTTTTTGTTCTGTCTTGACTCCCTAGCAAGTTGTACGTGTGTGGGGTTTTTTTGACTCTTTTTTTCCTTTTTGTGGAGAATGGGGTCTCACCATGTTGCCCAGGCAGATCTCAAACTCCTGGTTTCAAGTCTCAAACTCCTGGGTTCAAGCGATCCTCCAGCCTCTGCCTCCCTAAGTGCTGGGATTACAGGCATGAACCACTGAGCCTAGCCCCTAGCAAGTTTATCACAGAGCTTAAAACTTTCTCAGCTCTTATCAAACTGCCTCAGTATTCTTGCAACTCTCACTAAGCAGATGACCTTAAGGATATAATAACAGGTTTGAAACCATTGGACATAATTTACCTGTTGAGAGACTGTTCCACATAACCGAAAACTCTTTTTCTTTCTGCTGGAGAGAATCCACTTTCGGTAAAGGCTAACTTTTGCATGTGGTGTTTTGCTTTCCTTTTGTACCATTCTTCAGACAGGATTTTCGTCTCTGTCCTGTGTCTCGGATCTTTTTTTTCTTGGTTTCTTTTGTCTGCTTTCCAACACGCACAGGTTCTGCTGTCTTAATCAAATGACATACTGCTCTCCCCAGCTTGTATTTCGTCTTATTTCCTCAGTGGTAACAGATGTCACATGTTGACTTTTTTTTTTCTTTCTTTTTTTTTTTTTTTGAGAGAGAATCCTGCTCTGTCGCCCAGGCTAGAGTGCAGTGGCATGATCTCAGCTTGCTGCAACCTCTGCCTCCTGGTTCAGGCTATTCTCCTGCCTCAGCCTCCTGAGTAGCTGGGATTACAGGTCCGCCACTATGCCTGGCTAATTTTTGTATTTTTAGTAGATAGGGGGTTTCACCATATTGGCCAGGCTGGTCTCGAACTCCTACCTCAGGTGATCTGCCTGCCTCGGCCTCCCAAAGTGCTGGGATTACAGGCATGAGCCGTCGTGCCCAGCCCACAGGTTGACTTTCTTATCCCTATTGCATTTATTTCCTCACTACAGCCCTTTTCTAAAACATGGTTGTATTAGGGTTCTCTAGAGGGACAGAGCTAATAGGATAGATATATACAAAGGGGAGTTGATAGAGTATTAATTCACACGATCACAAGGCCCAACAATAGGCCCATCTGCAAGCTGAGGAGCAAGGAGAGCCAGTCTGAGTCTCAAAACTGGAGAATTTGGAGTCTGATGTTTGAGGGCAGGAAGCATCCAACATGGGAGAAAGATGTAGGCTGGGAGGCTAGGCCAGTCTAGTCTTTTCATGTTTTTCTGGCTGCTGTATATTCTGGCCTCAATGGCAGCTGATTAGATGGTGCCCACCCAGATTAAGAGAGGGTTTGCTTTTCCCAGTCCACTGACTCAAATATTAATGTCTTTTGGCAACACCCTCACACACACACCCAAGACCAGTACTTTGCATCTTTCAATCCAATCAAGTTGACACTCAGTATTAAGCATCATAATGGTTTTTATTTTGATTATACTTAAGATGCCGTAAACTTCGATATGGTCAACAGCAGTATCTTCCAAACCAGTATCCTTATTTCCATTCCAATCTGAGCAAGACTTGAAAGCCAGAAAAATCTGAAGTGCATCTCCAATCTGTTATTTAGCAGATAATTTTAAACATCTGCTGTGTGCCAGACACCTCTTTAAGTACAGGGGATTTAGTTGTGAACAAGACAGAAGACAGAGTCCTTGCTCTTTAGAGGGAGTTCACAGTCTAGATGAGAAGTCAAACTTTGAACAATAAATTTCAGCTTCAGAGTCTTAATGACATTAAGTTCAGATGCTTTGCAGCCCTTGAATAATAAGTTTCATCTAAAGGACTCATCTCCTGGCCTGCATACCCATTTCAGATGTTGTTAGGGAGAGGCTTCAGAAGAGGCTTTCTAGAGCAGGTGACATTTAAGCCCAAGGCTTGAAAGAATAAGAGTCAGAATAGGGTACAGTATGTACAAGGAAACTCTGAATAGGGTACAGTATGTACAAGGAAACTCTCAGTTGGAAAACTGACATAAATCCCATTAAGGGGGAGAGTGGAAAAAGATGACTGGAGAGAGAAGTTGAGGTCAGATCAGGCAGACTTTCTAGGCCTTCTTAAGGATGTTATAGCAAGACAGTGGGAATCCATTGAAAGGTGGTCTTACAGGATCACTATAAGGGGATAGAGGGGATGCACATACTACCCTAGGATCTGATATTCATATTATAACCAATCTGGGACAGTGCCCCTGGAGTTGTGCAGTGCCAGAATAATCTGGAGTACAGCCATCTGTACTCCCACTGGAACATGGAGGAGTAGACTAAACAGGACTTTGCATGTATATGGTGAAGATCAGTGGAATAAAAAATGGTACCTGGCTGGGCACTGTGGCTTACACTTGTAATCCTAGCACTTTGGAAGGCTGAGGCGGGAGGATCACTTGAGGCCAGGAGCACAAGACCAGCCTGGGCAATATAGCAAGACCCCATCTCTAAAAACGAAAAAAAAATAGCCAGCCATGGTGGCCTGAGCCTGCGGTCCCCAGCTACTCAGGAGGCTGGGACAGGAATATCACTTGAGCCCAAGAGGTTGAGACTTCAGTGAGCTATGGTCACACCACTGCACTTCAGCCTGGGCAGGTCAAAGAACAGAGGTGCTGTTCTCCGATATAAGTGAGCTGGGAGGCAGATGTGTGTAGAGGGGTTGGGGGAGGGTAGGAGAAGGTGATAATAATCAATTTTGAACTCATTTGAGATTCTTTTGGAACATTAGAGAAGTGGTTTTGTAGATAAGTAGAGAGGTTTCAACTAGGGATATGGTTGGGATTCCTAGGTTTATAGATGTGGTTAACTACTGGAAATGGACATGATACACCACAGAGGACAGAATGAAAAGATGGTTCAGTACAGAAATCTGAGGGGCTCCTGATATTTAGTAATAGTTGAATAGAAGAGATGGAGCTTAGGCTTAGAAAACTGTTGGTTCAAGCCTTCAAGATCCTCTACAAAATGTTTCCAGCCACATTTGTTACCCAAGTCATAGTGGATTCATCTCCTTGCCTTTGTACCCATTTCACATGTTGCTGTCATAAGGAGACTCTTTCCTTATTTCTTAGATAAAATATAAATCTTTTTTTTTTTTTTTTTTTTTTTGAGACTGAGTCTCACTCTGTTGCCAGGCTGGAGTGCAGTGGTGCGATCTCAGCTGACTGCACTCTCCGCCTCCCAGGTTCAAGCGATTCTCCTGCCTCAGCCTCCCGAGTAGCTGGGATTACAGGCACGCGCCACGACGCCCAGCTGATTTTTGTATTTTTAGTAGAGATGGGGTTTCACCATGTTGGCCAGGATGGTCTCGATCTCTTGACTTCGTGATCCACCTACCTTGGTCTCCCAAAGTGCTGGATTACAGGTGTGAGCCACCACGCCTGGCCAGAAATCCTTACTCAAGGCTTTGTGATATTCACACTAAATTGTATTCTGATTATTTGTATGTTTGGCTTATTCTCTATAAAGATTAAGGATGCTCAGTTAGTATTGATGGATTAAGTATATTTTGATAGAAATGGCTGTGATTTTTAAATATAGCCAAATTTCTGTTCTTACCTGGTACCAGCAATAAATGTGTTGAATAAATTAATCAACAATAGAAAATGCAGATAAGGAAAAAGAAAAAAATATTAAAATCACTTGAAGTTCTAACACATCTTTTCATATGATAGTTTCTCAATCTACTTGTAATGTTTTTGTTTTTGTAATAATTGTGTGGGGGTTTTTACATTTTATTTTTGTTCATGTTTCTGTGGGTTATTTTTGGAGGGGAGGGCACATTTTAAAGATATCGCAGTTCAGAAGTTCTGTTGTGAAGCACTTTAGTTTAAAAATCTGTATACTTTGTGTGCATGTCCCCATGAGCTTGGAGGCATTGCTGACTGGCATCCCTAGGCTCAGTGATTGTCTGTAGTTGTACATTTATTTACAACTACATAATGTACATTTATTTGTATGATTGTGCTTCAGACTGATCTTTGGAGCTAAATTTAGGGAAGCTTTTGGAGAGGTGACTTAGGAAGGCAGGGGCAGTCGGCAGTTCAGGGCTCCTTTACTCTGCATTCCTCAGAGCACTTCTGCATTTCGCTGTTTTCAATGTAGAGATTCTGTTAGAACTTCCTTTTACAAATGTTTTTCCTTTTGAAAATTGTTATGCTGCTGGTATATGACATGTATCTTTAAATCAGATTTCATAGTGTAATATAGATCAGCAATGACGTTTTCTTGTATCTTATCAATTAGGGATTATGGGGTTCATGGGATCTGTCTTTCTTTTGTAAGCTTTTTAAAGATGACATCAGGTATCTGTTGACAATGGACAAACTATGGCGGAAAAGGAAACCTCCAGTTCCGTTGGACTGGGCTGAAGTACAAAGTCAAGGTAAAGAATACATTTTAGTCTTGGAACACCTAAGCTGGAAATATCCTCGCGTAAAGTCTTTGTATAGCCCTGTTGTTGCTTGAAAATGATATGTCTTCATATATTCAAACAGTGCAAAAAAATATGAAGAACAAAAGTCACTGAAGTCCCACACTTCAGAAATAGCCACTAATAACATTTTCAGGAGTGTTCTGGTGGTCCGCCCTATGTACACAGATGCAGGCATTCGTTATACACTGCGTAAATGGAATCATACTATTGATAAACTCTCACTTGCTTTTGTCAGTCAGTATAGTTAACTAGTCTCTTATTAACATGTAGTGTTTTTGTATTTTCCCTGAAATAAAGTTTTGAAATTGCTATATATTTATGTATATCTTTTTTTTTTTTTTTTTTTTTTTTGAGACCGTGTCTCGCTCTGTTGCCAAGGCTGGAGCGCAGTGGCACGATCTCAGCTCACCGCAACCTGGGTTCAAGCGATTCTCCCGCCTCAGCCTCCCGAGTAGCTGGGATAACAGGTGTGAGCCACTGCGCCTAGCCTATTTATGTACACCTTTGTACCCTTGTGATTATCTCTTTAAGATTTAATCTAGAAACACATTTTTAATGTAAAATTTTTTTAATGTTTAGAAATGAAAAGTTTTTTGAGGCATAGTCTTGCTATGTTGCCCAGATTAGAGTGCAGTGGCTGTTCACAGGCTGTCATAGCACAAGGCATCCCTGGACTCCTGGGCTCAAGCCATCCTCCTCCCTCAGTCTCCTGAGTAGCTGGGACTGTATGCAACTGTGCCCAGCATATTTTAAAATTTTAAATGTAGGAAAACTATTGTAGTGGCTGCTTTCTCATCCCACTCCCCTTTAACACTCCTTGTCTCTCCTTTATCTGAACTGTATTAGGATTAATTTATGCACAGCAGTATAGCACCCATTGAAACTTAAAAGATCCCGGGAGACTTGGGATATCATTTTGGAGCAGTTCTCAACAATCAGGGATAGTTATCAAACAGATTTAATTATGACTCTAGTAGTGTCCGCTTACTGAGTTCTCATTCTCACTAGGTGCTGGGCCTAATGCTTATTTATCATCTTATCTACATTATATCTTCAAATCTCCCAGTAATCCTATGAGGTACTGAGGTGGTCTTGTACCTTTCCTATCTCAGGTTTAACAGTTTTTTTTTTTTTTTTTTTTTTTTTTTTTGAGACAGAGTCTTGCTCTGTCGCCCAGGCTGGAGTGCAGTGGCGCGATCTTGGCTCACTGCAAGCTCCGCCTCCCGGGTTCGCGCCATTCTCCTGCCTCAGCCTCCTGAGTAGCTGGGACTACAGGCGCCCGCCACCATGCCTGCATATTTTTTGTATTTTTAGTAGAGACGGGGTTTCACCATGTTAGCCAGGATGGTCTCGATCTCCTGACCTCATGATCCGTCTGCCTCGGCCTCCCAAAGTGCTGGGATTACAGGCGTGAGCCACCGTGCCTGGCCCCATGATAATTATTTTAATGGAATTTATTTCATATTTGATTTCTTAATGGTCGGGGATTGAACTTGTTAAACAGAGCACAGTAGAGGAATGATGTTAATTAGTGAAATTTCTAATATATATATTTTTTTCTTTAGGAGAAGAAACGAATGCATCAGATCAACAGAATGAACCCCAGTTAGGCCTGAAAGACCAGCAGGTTCTAGATGTAAAGAGCTATGCACGTCTTTTTTCAAAGAGCATCGAGACTTTGAGAGTTCATTTAGCAGAAAAGGGGGATGGAGCTGAGCTCATATGGGATAAGGTTCGTTTTGACAATGTGTGGCAAGTACTTACATGTCAAAAGTGTGTTTTAGTTCTTGAGATGTAATAGAAGCTAGTCATTTTTTGAATATTTACTAGATTTTGAGGAAATATATTGATTTGGCTTGGATATTTTCAGCTCTAATTGCTGTATGGAGCTGAATTTTCTGTACATGAATTCAAGCAATATCATAAAACTTCATTTGGGATTCTAGTGATGTGTTCAGGGTTTATAATTATGTTGACTAGAAAAATAACGTGAATATATTAAAGTGAAATGTTTCTTGTGTAGAGTAGATGTATTCATAGAAGTCATAAAATCATTTGGAGAAAACATCTCATTGGCCTGATTTGCCCTTGAAAATAGTAAGATTGTCTTTGAATTGAAATAGTTATTACTATTTCAGAGGTCTGAAAGACAGAGCTCTTGATACAAAAATGAGATGTAATTATTCTTAGAAGTTAAAATCATATTTAATAGTACTCTGCAGTTATGTCATCTTTTGAGATTTGATATTATGAACTAATTTTACTTAATTTTAATTGTAATCAGTATTTTCTATGGCTAAAAGTGTTTTATCTCATGAAGCTTGTATGTTCCTGTGGTGTTGAAGATTAGTCATGGGTCTTAAGGCATAAAGGCCAATTTTAGAAACCTAAGAAAAATTTGTGTGTACATATTTTGAAACTTTGGTTGAATCAGACATCTAAATACACTAAAATGAAGCTAGTATATTTAGATTCTTGGGATTCTTATAAACATTAGTCTCTTGGGTTTTGTGATATTTAAAGGGTAACTTTTCATATTTTCATTGTTATTGTTATGCTAGTGATTTGGGAAGTTTGATTAGTGCACAGAGGCTAAATAAAGAGCCCTTGGAATGGGAATTGTTATCCTCTTGAGTAAAGTCCACATGTAATGGGTGTGATAAGACAGCTGCTTAGGGAAGACACTGTGTTGAGTATTCAGTATTCTTAGTCCTCACCACACCTTATGAGATGGGGATATAATTTCCCCTATTTAATAGATTAAGAGATTTTGACTCAAGGAATTTGACTTGCCTGAGGATTCACAGCCAGCCAATAAATACATAAAGAACTATGCTCTCAGTATTTTTTCTTCTGTTCTGTGATGCCTCTGAATTTTAGACCAGGGTGATATCTTCTCAGTTCAAAGCAGGAAGCCTTGCTGAAATCTAGAGACTAGGATATAGTCTCAGGAAAAATACAAATCGTAACAGGAAAAACTTGGATTGTATTGCCTTATTTGAAGAAACAGCATATGTGAGAGAGTGGTGCATATGAAGAGAGTTTGGCAAAGGGGAGTGAAAAAGAGTCATCCAGGTTTTTCTGAAGTGTTAATGAAACAGCTTTTTTTTTTTTTTTTTTTTAATTGAGACAGGGTCTCACTCTGTCACCAAGGCTGGAGTGCAGTGGCATGATCTTGGCTTACTGCAGCCTCTGCGTCCCGGGTTCAAGTGATCCCGCCACCTCAGGCTCCCGAGTACCTGGGACGACTTTAGGTGTGCGCCACCATGCCTGGCTAATTTTTTGTGTTTTTGGTGGAGATGGGGTTTTGCCACGTTGCCCGGGCTGGTCACAAACTCCTGAGCTCAGGCAATCTGCTTGCCTCAACCTACTAAATTGCTTGAGACTACAGGCATGAGCCACCATGCCCAGCCTAAAACAGTTTTCTTAAATTGCTCGTCTTTTGGCCTGGATTCTGTGTTTGTCCAGCAACCTTCTCTTTACTGATGAATGGAACCAGGAAAGGGTTGCCATTGTCAGTGAGTGGAATTGAGATTCCGGTGTATACAACTGAGTCTCCGGTGCCTTTGTTTAGGCTGGAGTGAGTTCCTAGAAGCTGGTGATTCTTGGTGTTCTTGTCAGACTCATTACTGGACCAGAGGAGCTGATGATGAGACCCCACCCCCTACTTAACCCACCTCCATGCTACTGTGAGGTCCTAGCTGACTGGTCTTTCCCTCAGCAACCTCTTGTTCTAGTCGAAAGTCTATAGTATTATAAACACGTGAAAGTATTGTTCTGAAAGTAATGCTTCAAAATAGTCAATTTGTGGAGAAACTTGTTAAATTGTTTAAATTATTGGCAGGATGACCCATCTGCAATGGATTTTGTCACCTCTGCTGCAAACCTCAGGATGCATATTTTCAGTATGAATATGAAGAGTAGATTTGATATCAAATGTAAGTTATTTGTACTAAAGTTGTATCACTAAAACCTTGAAGTTGTTTTTTAAACAGTGAAACATACTCATCCTTTTTTTTTTTTCCCAGCAATGGCAGGGAACATTATTCCTGCTATTGCTACTACTAATGCAGTAATTGCTGGGTTGATAGTATTGGAAGGATTGAAGATTTTATCAGGAAAAATAGACCAGTGCAGAACAGTGAGTATTTCTGTTTGCATTTTTATGCAACCCCCCTTAAAAAAATCATTAATTAAAAGTACATTAAACAGATAATTTTTAAAATGAAAACAATAAAATTGGTTTAAAGCAATGGAAAAGTAATTTTTCTGGTTACCAAGTGAGTGTGTGTTTAAGCTTCCTGGAAATTGCAACAAAAAGGAAAAATTAAGAAGTTGCTTTTGCTTTTAACATTTCCAATTTTACTGAATTCTTCGAAGAATTCATTGTGCGGTCCTTATACTAAGAAGATGTTTCAACTGTTTTTCAATTCTGAGAGTGCTATATGGGTTTTAAAATTTGCTTGGTCATTTTATAGTCCCCTGTTCAGTCATTCTCCTATTGAGTCATTCTTTTCAATTTTATTGTATAGTTTTTGATAATGTTAATGTCTGAGATCTTTATGGGTGAGTCTGCTGTCATTTCTGCTATTTCTCGTAGTGATTTGCTTGTATGGTTTATGATTTTTTAAAAACTGAATGTGTATTAGAATTGTGTCTGGTAATTCTTTAGGGACCCATTGTAGATGTATTTCTTCAAAGAGCATTTGTGGTTATTATATTTGGGTGCTTGGGGCACTGCCAATACAGGACCACTTTTAAATTAGGATTTTCAATACCTATGTATTCAGACCACAAACCTGCACGTGCCCTATGTTATTGTCATGAATTATATGGGAAGATACTCCTCCCCCTCCACTAAGCACCAAGTTTAAGATCATTTTTATGGAGAAAGTATTTTTCTCCTCTCTTTTCAGGTCCTTGCTTTGTGTAAGGGTCTCCTGTTTTAAGAGTTCCTACCTTAGTGGTGGGTGGGGTAGGTGTATCTCTTAAGGCTAACACTACTTGGATGTTCTCTTTGGATTCCTTCCTTCGATGTTGTGTCTGCAGACACTTCGCTTTCTTACCAGCTCAAGAAGGCTTCCTAGGAAATACTAGCCAATACTTTGACTGTTGTTTAGGTTCTCCTTTTTATCATTGAAATAAAAAGACCTGTTTACCTTCAGAAATTTCAAAAAATATCTAGTTTGCAATGGTACTGTTATTTTGCAGTGTCATTGATGCACACTTACTTTTTTTTATCTTTTGAGACGGAGTCTAGCTCTGTTGCCCAGGCTGGAGTGCAGTGGCACAATCTTGGCTCACTGCAACCTCCACCTCCCAGGATCAAGCGATTCTCCTGTCTCAGCCTCCTCAGTAGCTAGGATTACAGGTGCATGCCACCATGCCGGCTAATTTTTGTATTTTTAGTAGAGACGGGTTTCACTATGTTGGTTAGGCTGGTCTCGAACTCCTGACCTCATGATCCGCCCACCTCGGCCTCCCAAAGTGCTGGGATTACAGGCATACAGGCATGAGCCACTGCGCCCGGCCTTTTTTTTTTAAACTGATGGGGTCTTGCTATGTTGTCCGGGTTGGTCCTGAACTCCTGGGCTCAAGCAGTCCTCCCACCTTGGCCCCCCAAAGTGCTGGGATTACAGGTGTGAGCCACTGCACTTGGCCCGATGCGCTCTTTTTTTCCTTTTCTTTTTCTTTTTTTTTTTTTTTTTTGAGGTGGAATCTTGCTCTCACCCAGGCTGGAGTACAGTGGAGTACAGTGATGTGATCTCGGCTCACTGCAACCTCCACCTGCTGGGTTCTAGCGATTCTCCTGCCTCAGCCTCTCAAGTAGCTGGGATTACTGGCACATGCCACCACACCTGGCTAATTTTTGTATTATTAGTAGAGACGGTGTTTCACCTGTTGCCCAGATTGGTCTCAAACTCCTGGCCTGAAGTGATCCGCCCTTCTCAGCCTCCCAGAGTACTGGGATTTCAGGCGTGAGCTATTGCGCCCAGCCTCGATGCACTCTTAAAATATTTTATTTTCATGAAATTTCAGTTTGAAGGAACAGAATCAAATTGCCCAGTCTGCCATCTTGATTTAGTTTTCTATTTAAACTTTTATTGTATATGTTATATTTTTAATTTCTAAGAACTTTATTTTTTGGTATCTTTTTTTTGAGATGGAGTCTTGCTCTGTCACCCAGGCTAGAGTGCAGTGGCGCGATCTCAGCTCACTGCAACCTCCACCTCCCAAGTAGAAGTGATTCTCCTGCCTCAGCCTCCCCAGTAGCTGGGATTACAGGCGGGTGCCACCACGCCTGGCTAATTTTTGTAGTTTTAGGAGAGACAGGGTTTTACCATGTTAGCCAGGCTGGTCATGAACTCCTGACCTCAGGTGATCTGCCCACCTTGGCCTCCCAAAGTGCTAGAATTACAGGAGTGAGCCACCGTTCCTGGCCGATACCCAGTTTTTAAATTATTTAAAAAAAATTTTTTATAGCAGCCTGAAGCTGTAGTATCCCTTTGAGCTCACCAACAGTACTAATTACTGAACTTATTAAAATGTCTGTTATTTCCCATCACATCCTTCCGGTTTCTTTGCCTGCTTAGCTCCATGCCACTCTTGGACTATTAATAGTAATATATCTGGCCGGGCACGATGGCTCACACGTGTAATCCCAGCTCTTTGGGAGGCCGAGGCAGGCAGATCACCTGAGATTGGAAGTTCGAGACTAGCCTGACTAACGTGGAGAAACCTGGTCTCTACTAAAAAAAAAAAAAATATATATATATATATATATATATATATATATATAAAATTAGCTGGGCATGGTGGTGCATGTTTGTAATCCCAGCTACTCAGGAGGCTGAGGCAGGAGAATCACTTGAACCTGGGAGGCGGAAGTTGCATTAAGCCGAGATCGCGCCATTGCACTCCAGCCTGGCAACAAGAGCGAAACTCTGCCTCAAGAAAAAATATAGTAATATATCTGGATTTCATTTTTTTACATTTGCAAATGAATTCCAGCCTGGATTAATGTTAGCCCAGGTATTAATAGTGGTAGCAATTGCTTTTATTATTGTCAGTTTCCCTTAGCACACTTACCTTCCCGGTGAAGCCCAAAATCAAACAAATCTTTCTCCCTCTGTAGCCTGCTTGGCCTGGGCAGTTTGCTTCTAGCCCTTCCACCTACCAGTATTCATTGTACGGAGAAGCTATTTTACAGAGGACGGCTTTAGTGTCTCTTGAGGGATTTAGTTCTGTATTCTCAGGGGAATCCGTAGAGTACTCCTTTAGAATTCATTCCTCTTAGCAGACTCAACACTACATTGTAGTCACAAGATAAAGGTTTGTGTCTCAGCTTCTTGTCTTCTGACATTTGTTGTTTCTGTTGGATCTTGCTAGTGTTTTCTAAACTTTAGTAGAAGCAGGAGCTTGGAGCTTTTCTTAATTTCAGTGTAATTTGTATATTTGCCTTGGTTCTTAATTATTTTTTTGTTTAGTATTAGAGAAATGGTAAATAGGTACATATACTGCCAGAAATACATTTTTTTCCCTCATTATATAAATGTTATTCTAATCAGAAAATTTGGGAAGGCAGTGATGTTGATTCTAGACAACTGTGAAAGGCACTATCGTTAACTGGAGAAATTAATGTGTTGGTCTTGTCAGGAGATTGCTTGCTTGATAAGAATAGCCTCAGGGAGGGACACCAGCTGCTGATACAATGATGGCACCACAGATTAACATGCCTGTGCCCTTACTCTTGCCAAATCAGGTTGCAGAAGAACGCGGAGTCTTATATAATACAAGGAGATGTCTTTTCAGCAAGCCTAGCTAGCCTAGCCTTTAGCTGATTAGAAAAGAAGGTTGAGGCCGGGCGCGGTGGCTCACGCCTGTAATCCCAGCACTTTGGGAGGCCGAGGCGGGCGGATCACGAGGTCAGGAGATCGAGACCATCCTGGCTAACACGGTGAAACCCCGTCTCTACTAAAAAAAAAATACAAAAAATTAGCCGGGCGAGGTGGCGGGCGCCTGTAGTCCCAGCTACTCGGGAGGCTGAGGCAGGAGAATGGCGTGAACCCCAGGGGGCGGAGCCTGCAGTGAGCCGAGATTGCGCCACTGCACTCCAGCCTGGGCGACAGCAAGACTCCGTCTCAAAAAAAAAAAAAAAAAAAAAAAAAAAAAAAAAAGAAGGTTGAAAAACCAGGTTCCTAAAAAGGTCATGATTTTCCTGATCCATTTTGCCATCTGGACGGGAATTTTTAAGTCATTTTTTATTGGATATCTGGTAAACGAGATTTTAGATTGTATGGCGTATAAAATTACAGCACGTTTCCGATTTCTGCCTGTTATTTCTCCTCCAAAGATTTTTTTGAATAAACAACCAAACCCAAGAAAGAAGCTTCTTGTGCCTTGTGCACTGGATCCTCCCAACCCCAATTGTTATGTATGTGCCAGCAAGCCAGAGGTGACTGTGCGGCTGAATGTCCATAAAGTGACTGTTCTCACCTTACAAGACAAGGTCAGTGCAAGGCCTGGGTCTCTTTTCCTTTTGCTTTTACAGTATTACTGTGATGACAAACAAACACTAGCTGCTGATTCTGAAAAGGTCCAACTGCAGAGATGTGTGGCTGTGATTTCCTGGGTTATTTTGCCTTCTGGATTCCTGCAGGCTTTTCTGTCTGTGGTTCCAGAATAAGTGCCTCACATTCCCAGAATGGAGTAGGAGTATTTGACTGGAATCTGCAGCACAGTGGTGGCACAGTATCACAGCAAGCAGAGGACTTCTTTGCTCTTTGCTTCCCAGGCAGTGGGTAAATTCTGTATTTTTTGACAAATAACAGGTATCCTTGAATGGTCCTCACTGTGGCAGTGAGCAGATAAGTATTTGCATGCAGTGCAAAGTTTGCATTTCCAGTAGAGCAAAGCCCCAGTTACCAGCTTTGTATTAAAGGGTATAAGTAACTTGCAGAGTTTTGGTTTCTCTGCGTGTTGGACAGTGCCCACTCCCAGCAAATTAGGGGGCTTTTGTTATTTCTGAGGTCTGAGTTGAGGCTAAGTGGTGGTACACACTTATCTAATATGACCTGATTCTGATATGGTAAGTTAGTCCCTGAGGACATAGGGCATTTGCACACCTGGATTCACCTCTGGAGCTGAAGCGAGGGAAGAAATGGGGGTTTAGGACATGGTCTGGTCCTTAAGTTCCTGTTAAATTGGCTAGATTTGTGTATTAGGGGAGATTTTCTTTTTTTATGACCCAAAAGTGTCACTTTCCACTTTGGGATCACTTCCTATTGTTCTCTGGTTGTGACCATCATAATGCTACATATTTACATGCCTCTTGAGAGAGGAGGAAGTGGCCCTTCTCAAATAGCAGTGCTGCCTGATAGGGAATGGCCTTTCTTCCAGAAACTGGTTAGGCAGGACGGATTGATTTGAGCTTATGTTTTGGTCAAGGAAGTGGCAGGTACAGCAGCGGGTGGTTGCCCCAGTTTCTTTTCTAGGAAATAATTATCTTTGGTATCTCCTGATTCTTGAGCTTCAAGGTTATTCCTCTATTTGTAGGATTCTTAGACCTATAGAGAGTTCCTCCTTTTTTCCTTCTTTCTTTTTTAGGAGCTGGTAGGATTTAACAGAATATTATCACTTCTCTAAATGCATGGAACGGGGAGACTTATCTGAGAGTCAGGTTAATGAGAACTGATTCCATCTATGAAACCCCTGCCATTACAGGGTTGGCACAGAGACTGAAATGAAATATGTCAAGTGTGTAGCTCACTACCTAACCTGCAGGGAAAGACAAAGTAGCAAGAGCCAGCCAGGGAGTTCCTAGTCCCCTGTTGAGATGAAGTTGGATCTGATCTGCATCAGTGGTCAGATGTGGGGATGGAACTCAGGTGAATCCCCACGGCTTTCCTGCTTGCTCTAAGGGATCTTGAAGAGTGACTTCGCCGGTTTCCAATAAATAGAAGGGGAAAGTAAGAGCCTTTATAGAAGTCTAGGATTTCTTATGATCTTTAATTACCTACGTTAATATTTTGAATCCTTTTTTTTTTTTTTGTAGATAGTGAAAGAAAAATTTGCTATGGTAGCACCAGATGTCCAAATTGAAGATGGGAAAGGAACAATCCTAATATCTTCCGAAGAGGGAGAGACGGAAGGTATCATACATTGTATTTATTCATTCCTCTCATTGAGGAGACTGCTTGAAGAGTGCACATTAGTTGATTCATTTACTGTATGTGATACTCAGTATTGCAGAGAGTGGCAGTGTTTGGTCATGAAGGTGCTCTTTCAAGGTGACATTGCTGGGGGTCATCACACTTCCATGTTTGGGAACTCCATGTCAGACATTTTCAGGGACTGCAGTGCTCTTGTCCACTTCCAAGGAACCTCCTTGCCGATATCATGGATCCTGGGAGCTAACCTTGTGATGAGAAGACTATTCTGTCTGTCAGATCACAGTGGGTAGGGTTCTAAGGCATTTGGAGATTTTTCTCCAAGAGTGGGGAAGCCTTGGTAGCCTGTTCCTACTATATAGCAGAAAGATTATTGAAATTCAGTGCCCGGTTTTGGCTTTCTGATCTTTCCTTTCAAAAGTTCAAGCAGTTCATCCCTTTTGCTAACACATTTGCTATACAAGGTACAATACATTTGATTCTGTTGAAGCTTTCATAGTAAGGATTGCATCGTAGTTATTCCTCCTTCAGACTGTACTCGTTGATCCTATACCTCCTTGGTCACTTTTGCAGCTCATTTCTTGAGTTGCTGTTCTCGTTTTTTCCATGTCCCAGTTTTTGCCAGTGTACTGTTATTTTCGAAGGTTTCTAGGCCCTGTGTTTCCCTGTATATTGACTTAATTCATACCTATTTGTCCATTGGTCATTTATTCATACTTTGTGAGGTCCTGATGGCGATTCAGATGTTAAGCCTTCTTTAAATTCAGGTTTAGTGTCAAGGTTCTTCTTGGTTGTAGTTGCTTGTTGAGAAATTTTTTGGGCTATTAGGTCATGTGTAATTGGAGGCCATGTTTTGGCTGTGTGGTGCTCTATTTTAGGAGTCTACTTGAGTATTCAAGCCTCATTCTAGCCAGCTGACTTTTAAAAAAATGTTTGTTTGTGATTATATGCTGTCCCTTAGTTGTAGCCAGCTCTTTCAAATGCTAGCTTAAAAATGGAAACTGGTCAGGAATTTCAGTGGCTTCAGCGTGACCCTTCTGTACGGAATACATGTGGTATGGAGGGTGAGACAGCACTTACCAGAATATGTGTGGAGTCCTGTATGACAGGCATAGTTTTGGGTATTCATAAGTCAAGGATGAATAAGACAACAGACCTTGGCTTGAAGTGCCTTGCAGCCTGGAAGAAGGGAGATTGTCAACAGCTGGATTGAGCATCGTCCAAGGAAAACTAGAAAGAGTGTGTACACAGTATGAATCTAAGGAAAGTATATTCAGCTTTGTGAAACGGAGGGGGAGTAATAGGAGAGGGAGTACTCTTGGGTCAGTTTTTGAAGTAGTAGTGAGGACTCCCTGGACAAAGAAGAGAGCATTTAGACAGAATGAACATCTGTCTACAAAGGTGTGAACTTGTGAAACAACCTAAACTGCCTTGGGAGTGGCCCATTATTTGGTTTCGCTGGAAGTTGGGGTGCTGAGGGGTTGGCAGCAGTGGTGAGGTTGAAGTCTTTCTTGTCACATGTGCAGTGTGTGTCTTCCTCCTCTCCCTTGACCCCTACCCTCCAGAGGAAGGGGCAGTATTTCACTGCCACCTGCCACCAGGGTTTAAACAGGGGAGTAGCAGGGAGCTATTAGGGAGGAGGGGATTGAGGGATTTTTACTAAGGCAGAGGCAGGTGATAGATTTGAGATTTGCAAAGTCAGAACTTGGAGCCCAGTTGAGGAATAGCATTACAATGTTAGCAGCGTTGTTAGGCGAGCACAAGACTTCACAGGTGATGCTAGTTCACCAAAATGTGAACCCACATTAACTGGTTTTCCTTTTGAATGTGATGGTTCCAAGAGGTTTGCAGTCAGTGGAGATGTGTGAAAGGGCTTGGAGGTGGAAATCTGGGTAAGAATGCCAAGGGCATTCCTGGTAGATTAAAATGGTAAAGCAAGCAACAGATCTGGAAAAGAACTAGGAGAAACTGTTAGTATTTTCTGGGTGTCAACGTAGGGAAAGGCGTTCTAAGCGTTTTCCTTATAAATAATGAAAAAATGTTAAAAAGCCAAAAAAAAAGTGGGGGGAGACTGAAAATTGAGATTATATAGAAAATTGGGCTTGGTGCACTGGCTCACACCTCTAATCCTAGCACTTTGAGGGGCCGAGGCGGGCAGATCACTTGAGGCCAGGAGTTTGAGACCAGCCTGGCCAACATGGCAAAACCTCATCTCTTGTAAAAATACAAAAATTAGGCCGGGCGTTGTAGCTGTAATGCCAGCACTTTGGGAGGCCGAGGTGGGTGGATCACCTGAGGTCAGGAGTTGGAGACCAGCTTGGCCAATATGGCAAAACCCTGTCTCTACTAAAAATACAAAAATTAGCCAGGCATGGTGGAGGGGGTGCATTTAATCCCAGCTATTCGGGAGGCTAAGGCAGGAGAATCGCCTGAACCTGGGAGGTGGAGGTTGCAGTGAGCCAAGATGGTGCCACTGCACTCCAGCCTGGACAACAGAGTGAGACTCTGTCTCAAAAAAAAAAAAAAGAAAGAAAATTAGTTAGGCATGGTGGTGCACACCTGTAGTCCCAGCTATTCTGGAGGCTGAGGTAGGAAGACTGCTCAAGTCTGGGATGCACTCTGGCCTGTGTGACACGGTGAGACCCTGTCTTTAAAAAAAATTGATTTGAATGGGGAAAAGTTTTCAGAATTTCTCAGTTTGGTCCCCCTGAAGTAGTTTCGGTAGTTAAGTGTTTTAAGACTGAATTCCCAGCGTTTTAATGTTTTAGGGTACTAGGGCCTCCATAACAAATACCACAACCCAGGTGGCTTAAACAACAGAAATTTATATTCTCACAGTTCTGGAGGCTGGAACACCAAGATGAAGGTGCTGGCAGGTTTGTTTTATTTTAAAACCTCTCTCCTTTGCTTGCAGATAGCTGCCTTTCTGTTGTGTCACATAGCCTTTCCTCTAGGGGTGCACATCCCTGATGTCTCTGTCCAGATTTTGGGATTGATTGATTGATTGATTGATTGACTGGAGACAGAGTCCTAAAAATTTTTTTTGCTGCTCTGTTGCCTAGCAGGCTGGAGTGCAGTGGTACAGTCACACGCCTCACTGTGTAACTCCTGGGCTTCAGGAATCAATCCTTCCCTGGCCTCCCAAAGTGCTGAGATTATAGATGTGAGCTACTGTGCCTGCCTTCCTCCTCCTATAAGGACATCAGTCAGATCAGATTAGAGCCCACCCTACTTGCCCCATTTAAATTTAATCATTCCTTTAAAAAGTCTTATCTCCAAATACAATCAGATTCTGAGATACTGGGGATTAGGGTTTCAACCTTTGGATTTTGGTGAACGGGACACAAATCAGCCCATAACAGAGGTTTAGCTTTTTAAAAAATCAACCTGACTGCTCTATGAAGATGTAACTGAAGTATCTAAATTATTCACGTTTCCTAGCTAATAATCACAAGAAGTTGTCAGAATTTGGAATTAGAAATGGCAGCCGGCTTCAAGCAGATGACTTCCTCCAGGACTATACTTTATTGATCAACATCCTTCATAGGTAAGAGCTATTAGTATTTTAATTGTAAGAAATTATTTGAATATATAAACTTTAGACAAAATGAAGGAAAAGTGTTTTCTTATCCTTAAACCCTGCTGTTCATTTGAAACTGTATAGTATATTTGGTTGAGTTGGTCACTGAGTTCCGTGATGTTTGACCTACAGAAAAATTTGAGGATTCAGAAATTGGCGGGGTGTGGCGGATCACCTGAGGTCAGGAGTTCGAGACCAACCTGGCCAACACGGTGAAACCCCGTCTCTGCTAAAAATGCAAAAATTAGCCGGGCATAGTGGCAGGCGCCTGTAGTCCCAGCTACTTGGGAGGCTAAGGTAGGAGAATCCCTTGAACCCGAGAGGTGGAGGTTGCAGTCAGCCGGGATCGCGCCATTGCACTCCAACCTGGGAGACAGAGTGAGACTCCAACTTAAAAAAAAAAAAAAGAAAACCAGAAATAAAAGAAATAAGCAAAAAATGTTTTAAGAGTAACTGTCATCAGTGGTGGCTTATCAGAAAGACCTAGAGTCCAGGTGTTTGAACAGTTTAAACAGAGGCAAATTCATTGTAGTAATTAAACTGGAATAAAATTATTAATTATTTTTCAAGGTTCTCTAGAAAAAAATATTTCTTCCATAAAACAAATCATTTCGTTTGTGATTTTGTGGCAATAACAAAAGAATATTGGGAATTGTCTGTACTGGCTGGGCATGGTGGCTCACACCTGTAATCCCAGCATTTTGGGAGGTCGAGGCGGGTGGATCACCTGAGATCAGGAGTTTGAGACCAGCCTGGCCAAAGGCTGGTGGTGGCGCATGCCTGTAATCCCAGAAACTTAGGAGGCAGAGGTTGCAGTGAGCCAAGATTGCGTCATTGCACTCCAGGCTGGGTGACAAGAGCAAAACTCCATCTCAAAAAAAAAGGAATTGTCTGTACAGATTCCTGAGTCTATAGCACAGTTAAGATAGACATGGCCCCCTATTCTGATATATTCATGTGTTGACCAGGGTGCATTTTTGTTCATGCTCATTGACATGGTGGAACTGTGCCTGACTTGAGATTTATGGGTAGCATCTAACAAACATAAAGGGTTTAGTGGTGCTGCCACCTGCGTCCAGTTATTTTGTCAATATTTTCATGAGTATACAAACATGCATAGTGTTGGTGTGGTTATTTGGAGAGAACTACATTTCATACTTTGTTTATAAAAAGCATAAAATGACAGGAAGGAGGCCAGGTGCGATGGCTCATGTCTGTGATCCCAGCACTTTGGGAGGCTGAGGCGGGTGGATCACGAGGTCAGGAGTTCAAGACCAGCCTGACCAACATGGTGAAACCCCGTCTCTACTAAAAATACAAAAATTAGCTGGGTGTGGTGGCATGTGCCTGCAGTCCCAGCTACTCAGGAGGCTGAGGCGGGAGAATTGTTTGAACCGGGGAGCCGAGTTTGCAGTGAGCCGAGATTGCGCCATTGCACTCCAGCCTGGGCGACAGAGGGGGACTCCATGTCAGAAAAAAAAAAAAAAATGACAGGAAGGACTGAATGTGAGTTATTAGTAAGTAGTGTATTTCACAGTTAGATAATGGAGTCAAAGTGGTCCTGCTTCAGTTGGACACTAGATATAAGTGGCATGCTTGTTTTCACTTGTGAAAGAAAAGACAGTGGAAGGACATGTACAATAAAGTGGAAATACCACAAGGTATCTAAAAGAGGAGGCATAATTAGGGTTTTTAATCATATTTTTTAGCTCTCTGGGAACAGAACCCCACCCCTTAAAACGTGTGTCTTTTGTTTGACTTAAATGTTTCTGATGTTTTTGGGAGTTCATGTACAGAAGCATGGTGTAGCTTGTAAAGATGGGGGGACCCAGAAATCATGTAGTTCTGCCCATAAGACACCACATTACTATAGTTAAGATCACATTGTAGGCCAGGCGTGACGGCTCACACCTGTAATCCCAGCACTTTGGGAGGCTGAGGCGGGCGGATCACAGGCTCAGGGGTTCAAAACCAGCCTAGCCAATATGGTGAAACCCTGTCTCTACTAAAAATACAAAAAAATTAGCCAGGTGTGGTGGCGCGCCTATAGTCCCAGCTGCTTGGGAGGCTGAGGCAGAAGAATAGCTTGAAAACCTGGGAGGTAGAGGTTGCAGTGAACCGAGATCACGCTACTGCACTCTAGCCTGGGTGACAGAGTGAGACTCCGTCTCGAAAAAAAGAAAAAGATCACATTGTAAGTAGAGGATGTAGAAATCTTTTTTTGGCATTGTAGCTAAAGAAATAATGTCCAAGAGTTGCTTTAGGCCACCAAGCTTTGGACCCAGTTTTATGCTTCAGCAATAAAAGTTATTTACTGTTTTAAAGAAACAAAAAACCAAAACCTTGCCCTGATTTGAAAGTGCATGTAGAGTTTTTGATTATCACAGAAATTTGTTGTGTACCGTCTTTTTTATTATAAGTTCAGTGCTTTGAAAATTAGAATCCAAGGTGGGTATGGTTGGCTCACGCCTGTAATCCCAGCACTTTAGGAGACCAAGGTGGGAGGATGGCTTGAGCCCAAGATTTCAAGACCAGCCTGGGCAACATTATGAGACCCTATCTCTCATTTTTTTTTAAATAAAAATTAAAAAAAAAATTAGAATCCACATATTTGGTGTATACATAGTGTATGCTTTGAGGAACAACAGGATTTCTCTGGTGCTCCTTTGCTTTCTAAATAGTCATAGCAGTGACCTGTGTGATTCTCCTACAGTGAAGACCTAGGAAAGGACGTTGAATTTGAAGTTGTTGGTGATGCCCCGGAAAAAGTGGGGCCCAAACAAGCTGAAGATGCTGCCAAAAGCATAACCAATGGCAGTGATGATGGAGCTCAGCCCTCCACCTCCACAGGTGAGTATGGCCCCAGCCAGCAGGTTGTTAAATACCCACAAAGCAGAAGTAAAAACAAACTGATTATTAGGAACATTGACCATAAATCCATAAAACTACTAGAGGTGTGTATTGGTTTGGTATTGATTGTTGTAATGGAGCTTTGAATTTATGAACCATGAAGACATTTAAGGCTGGGTGTGGTGGCTTACACCTGTAATCCCAGCACTTTGAGAGGCCAAGATGGGAGTATTACTTGAGGCCAGGAGTTGGAGAACAGCCTGGGCAACACAATGAGAGACCCCCATCTCTACAAAGAAAAAAAAAAATTAACCACGCATGGTAGCGTGTACCTGTAGTCTCCGCTACTCAGGAGGCTGAAGTGGTTCACTTGAACCCAGGAGTTCGACACTGCAGTGAGCCATGATTGCACCACTGCACTGCAGCCTGGGCAACAGCAAGACCATGTCTCAAAAAAAAAAAAAAAAAAGTCATTTAAGGCCTGGCATGGTGGCTCACACCTGTAACCCCAACGCTTTGGGAGGCCGAGGCGGGCAGATCGCCTGAGCTCAGGAGTTTGACACTAACCTGGGCAACACAGGGAAATCCCATCTGTACTAAAAATACAAAAAATTAGCTGGGCGTGGCAGCATGCGTCTGTAGTCCCAGCTACTCGGGAGGCTGAGGCAGGAGGCGGAGGTTGCAGTGAGCTGGGATCGCGCCACTGCACTCCATCCAGCCTGGGTGACAGAGCGAGGCTTCCGGCTCCAAACAAACAAGTCATTTAAGACTGGGGGAAATTCTTATGGAAATTTCTTACAGAAAATAAGAACACTTTGTTATTTTTTGTTAATTGGTTTTTAACAGTTTGAAATGATAGTTTACTAGTGTGCAAAGTCAGCCTATGTAGTAGCAGGTTGGGGTTTTGTATGCTTGTTTTAAGGAGCAATAAATCCATGCATCTGACTATTTTGAGTGAACAGGTGCTTGTTAAGTATGGAATTTAGGCATGTTAGAGTTTCCTTGTCACCAGTATGACTTGGGTATAGTCCTTTCCCCTGGATTTTCAGTGCTGGTGCTTGGTATTTTTCCAAATAACTGATTGTTTACTGTATTCTGATTTGAATATTTACTCCTCTCCCTTTCTTCCTTTAGTTAGGAAACTAAAGGTTACCAGATTTTGACTTCTTTGTTTTCATTTCTTTGACCCTATGTCTGTGGCATTCTTTGGAATATGTTTACTCTTGGCTCTAATGTTCTCTTGAGAATTTTGGAGACGAACATTCAGATTATGGCCTGGGTCATTGGTTCATAACCTGTTTTTTCCCCCCTCACTGAAATTAGAAAGGTCCGTCATCTTCCTTTGAGGAAGAGACTATCTGGTAGATTTTCCAAAATCATAATTTGAAATGTACATTTATTGATTCTCTACTGTGGGTAGGTTTCCAAGGTTACAGCCATGAGTAAGATAGGTATTCTGCCTTTGATTTTGTTGGACGAGGAGATAAAACCACCTTTAGTATCAGTTCTGCATTGGGGATGGTTCCTGGCTTCATCCTCTGCTACTATGTAAGCTTGGGAAGTCATTCACTGAGTTTCCTTTCCTGGAAAGCAGATACTCATGTGATCTTCTTTATAGGGTTGTGATGATTAAATGAGTTGTCATATGCACAGTGCTCAGAACAGTTCCTGGCACATTGTAAGTGCTGTATTGTTGTTGCTATTGTTACCACTACTACCATTATTAGAATATGTACCCTCTGCTTTTCTATTGGAGAATGTGGAGGTAGAATCAAGGATGTGTAATGAGTACTTTGAGTTACATAATGCTTGTCACAATTTTTTGTTTTGATTAGAAAATAAATAGGTTCTTATATAAAACATTTAAAACAGTATGGAAATACGTAATGTGTAAAGTGAAAATGCAGCCATTCTTAAGTCTGGTGTGTATTAGAAGAGTCAGCTTTCAATTATAGAAAATACAGGTGAGCACAGGTAACTCCCACGCTTTTACCCATTTTCTTTTTCCCTTTTTTCTGAAATAAGCTCAAGAGCAAGATGACGTTCTCATAGTTGATTCAGATGAAGAAGATTCTTCAAATAATGCCGACGTCAGTGAAGAAGAGAGAAGCCGCAAGAGGAAATTAGATGAGAAAGAGAATCTCAGTGCAAAGAGGTCACGTATAGAACAGAAGGAAGAGCTTGATGATGTCATAGCATTAGATTGAACAGAAATGCCTCTAAACAGAACCCTCTTACTATTTAGTTTATCTGGGCAGAACCAGATTGTTATGTCCTTTGTTCCAAAGGGAAAAAATTGACAGCAGTGACTTGAAAATGATTCTGCTCCCTTTGAAAGCATTCATTTTGCTAGAACTGTTAGACACATTGCAGTATGCTGTATTGAAAGTAGGAATATAGTTTTAAAAACCCTTTGAACAAAGTGTGTGCATAACCAGTCATGAGATAAAACAACACAATGCATGTTGCCTTTTTAATGTAAATACCCGTAGGTATCATTAATAGTTTCAAAATATTGTGGTTTAGTAAAGTTGATACCTGGTTATAAATATTATGCCTTTATTTTTGGCTAGAAGAAGAATTATTTTTAGCCTAGATCTAACCATTTTCATACTCTTAACTGATTGAAACAGATTCAAAGAAGTATCGAGTGCTATGCATTGAAACTTGTTTTTAAATGTTAGATGGCACTATGTATATTAATGTAAAACAATGTTAATTTACTCAAGTTTTCAGTTTGTACCGCCTGGTATGTCTGTGTAAGAAGCCAATTTTTGTGTATTGTTACAGTTTCAGGTTATTTATATTCGATGTTTTGTAAAACTCAAATAACGACTATACTTATGGACCAAATAAATGGCATCTGCATTCTTGTTACACATGCCTGCACAGTTCCTGTTTCTGCTGCCTTATATCTACTGCAGGAATGTCAAATTCTTTTCATTAAAAAAAGAACTCGGTCGGGCACGGTGGCTCATGCCTGTAATCCCAGCACTTTGGAAGGCTGAGGCAGGTGGATCACCTGAGGTCAGTAGTTCAAGACCAACCTGGTCAACATGGTGAAACCCCATCTCTACTAAAAAAAAAAAAAAAAATTAGCCGGGCCTGGTGGCAGGCACCTGTAATTCCAGCTACTCAGGAGGCTAAGGCAGCAGAATTGCTTGAACCCGGGAGGCAGAGGTTGCAGTGAGCCAAGATTGTGCTATTGCTACTCCAGCCAGGGCGATGAGTGAAACTCCATCTCAAAAAAGGTTCAGAAGATCTCCACTGTTTGCCAAAGACGAGTACTTTCTTTTCTTTATTCTTGGAGACTTCACATGTAGGAAGAGTACTTTCTAAAATAAAGCTCTTCCTGCGTGTGGTGGTGGTGCACATCTGTGTTCCAGCTACTCAGGAGGCTGAGGCAGGAGGATGGCTGGAGCCCAGAAGTTCAAGGCCAGCCTGGGTAACATAGCAAGACCCTGTCTCTAAAAAATAAGTAAATAAAATAAAGCTTTTAATGGCAGTGGGTTTTTTGTTCGTTTTTGAGATGAAGCCTCACACTGTCATCTGGCCTGGAGTGCAGTGGCGCGATCCTGGCTCACTGCAGCCTCCGCCTTCCAGGTGCAAGCGATTCTCCTGTCTCAGCCTCCCCTGTAGCTGGGATTACAGGCGCCCTCCACCACGCTCAGCTAATTTTTTGTATTTTTAGTAGAGATGGGGTTTCACTATGTTGGCCAGGCTGGTCTGGAACTCCTGACCTCGTGATCCACCTGCCTCAGCCTCCCAAAGTGCTGGGATTACAGGCGTGAGCCACTGCGCCTGGCCTAATGGCAGTGTTTTTAAAATTTGGATTGTCAGCAGTTGGCCTTTGTTGAGAAAATGTGTGACTTTGCCCAAGCCCAGTAACTTGGAGCCTTGAATTTGAGATGCTGGAAAGGGAGTCCTTCCTCCTTTCTGCAGTGTTTGTCTGGGTTGTCCCCTAGTTTACCAAAGTCCATTTTGAATGTACCATCCCCAGCCCAACTCCAGCCTACAGATAGTGCCAGACCGCCAGTAGGTGGAGTAGCACTGTCTTCCTGGTCCCGGACCTCAGAGGGCTTTGCCTGTTAGGGTACTCTTATCACTCAGAGATGGGCCTTGAGTTTTCAGAGAACAGAAAGCCATTAAGCTGTTTCCCCTATTGTATTCATGTGCCCTTTGTGTTTCTGGCAATAATTTATTTTATATTTCAACTAAATTTTAAATTTCTAATTCATGTATTGTTCCTTGTGTAATTTGTACTGTACCATTCAGCTTATTAACCATTACTCCTTGTTTTCCACCATTTGTAAATTCAGCATGTAATCAGAGCTTTCAGAAAAACCATGTAGAAGACTGGGTGTGGTGGCTCACACCCATAAGCCTTGCACTTTGAGAGGCTGAGGCAGGAGGATCGTTTGAGCCCAGGAGTTTGAGACCAGCCTGAGCAACATGGCAAAACCCCATCTCTACAAAAAATACAAAAAGTAGCTGAGCCTGGTGGCACTTGCCTGTAGCCCCAGCTATTCGGGAGGCTGATGGAGGAGGATCGCTTGAGCCTGGGAGGCGGGGTGTGCAGTGAGCCAAGATTGTACCACTGTACTTCAGACTGGGTGACAGAATGAGACCCTGTCTCTGAAAAGAAAAAAAAAGTCATGTTGACTAAGACTCAGCCTTCTGGAGCCCCAGAGTGGAGTGACTTTCACCTGTGAGCTTCATCTGCCTTTAGGTTTTTAGAAGGTGTTTAATTTTCCTCCAGAAAATAATTTGAAACTTAACTATGTAATATAAAATGAAATATCTTAGGATGCCGTCTCACTCTTCAAACTTTTTATTCTGAAAAGCTCTCTAGAAATTTGATTTTGAAATTCTGTCCATTCTTACACATCATCCTGCCTGCCTTTATTTTTGCAGTGGTGCCGTCATAGGTCACTGCAGCCTTGACCTCCTGGCTTCAAGCAATTCTCCCTCCCCAGCCTCCTAAGTCCCTGGAACTACAGGAGCTCACCACCATGCCCAGCTAATTTTTAAAACTTCTTTTGTGGAGACGGTCTCACGTTGCCCAGGCTTGTCTCCAACTCCTGGCCTCAAGCGATCCTCCCACCTTGGCCTTGCCAAGTACTGGGATTATAGGCCCTGAGCCGCGTGCCCTGTCCTCACCCTGCTTTGTAGACACAGTTAACAATGTGTTCCCGATATTTTGTGTATGTTCTTTTGTTCTTTCCTATTTGAATGTATAGTGCATGATGATAAGTGCCAGTTAGGTCTGCGGAGTTGTTTCTAATTTGGCAGACCAGTGTTTTTCATCTTTGCATTAACTATTACTACCTTTTTCAGCAGGTTTGTTAGGAAGGCAGGTCTGACTACTAGTTGCAGGGATCCTGTACAACTAGACAGTGTACCAAAGCAAATCCAAGCTTTCCCTAGGTGCCTAGAGGGTGGAGACACTTCAGATCTTGTGTTGTATTCATGGTTTTTCCATGTAAATTGTCTCACCAGCTGGGAGCTGGGAGTAGGGCTTGCAAAGGGAGTTTCCTCAACAGCTTCTTTCCACCTCCAGCCTGAAATATGGTGTTGACAAACTGTCTTCCAGCCTCACTTGGAACAGTGTGGTGACAAGTTTACCTAGAGAATCCATTGTCCTGAAGACTACTGGCTGCTCAGCATGTGCCATGAGAGGTTCCAACATTTTAACCCATTAATGAGATAACTGACCAGGCAAAGATCACTGGATGCCAAAACCTTTCAGGTAAAAGGCTGCTGAGGAACAGAATTTTAGCACAACACTCAAATGTTGCTGCACAGGTCACTTGCAAAAGGAAAACATCAATCTTTACTTATTTTAGAGAGGGGCGTCTCGCTTTGTCCCCCAGGCCGGAGTGCAGTGATGTGATCACAGCTCACTGCAGCCTCGACTTCTCAGGCTCAAGTGATCTTCCCACCTCAGCACCCCTGAGTAGCTGGGACTGCAGATGTGAGCCACCACGCCTAATTTGGAAAACACCAATCTTCACAATTGACAGATCTGACTGCCGCCACCATAATCAAGTGATCAAACCTAGTGTCACTTATGGGACGGCCTGATGTTTCTGTGCTTCCTAAGATGATACCAAGAACACAGCAGTATCTCACCAAGAAATTGTTGACTGGAATCTAACCAAGCATCTAGACCTCCAGCTGACAGGAAATGGAGAGGGGGTAGAGGCACAAGTTAACATTTAGAAACAATCAGGTGAGCAGAATATCTGTGATATTCCGTAACTGCCAGGGCTCTTCAGTAAGTGTCATTTCAAAAAAGGAAGGAGTAGGCATTCTGGGGTTAAAAGACATTTAAGAGACAACCCAATACAATGTATGAATAATTTTTTTTGCATCCTAGTTCAACAAAAATGACTATAACAATTCTTGTAACAATTGGAAATTTGAAAATGAAACGAATATAGGTAATATAGAATTGTTTTCTTCAGTACGATAATGTGATTGTAATTATGTTCTTTTTAGTGTATTATGGGCAAATCTTCAATACCAGCAACTTTTTTTTTTTTTGAGACGTACTTGCTCTGGTGCCCAGGCTGGAGTAAAGTGGTATAATCATAGCTCATTGCAGCCTCAAACTCCTGGGCTCGAGCGATCCTCCTCCCTCAGCCTCCCACGTAGCTGGGACTGCAGGTGTTACGCCACCACGCCTGGCTAATTTTTTCAATTTTTTGTAGAAGGGGTTTTGCTCTGTTGCCCAGGCTGGTCTGAAAGTCCTGGGCTAAAGCGATCTTCCCTCCTTGGCCTCCCCCAAAGTGCTGGGATTACAGTTGTGAGCCACTGCACCTTTCTCAGGCTATATGGGGAGGAAAACAGCAAAATTAACATTTATTGAACCTAGGTACTGTGTGTGTTTCATTGTACCATTCAGCTTTGAAAACTTTCATAATAGAAGTGAATATATGTATATATATGCACACACGCACAAATGCATATATACATACACAGGCAGTCTATTTTCCTTTTGTGCCTATTTGACTTTTCCAAGTTTTATATTGAGTATGTCCTATGATTAAAGTCAGAAAGGCAATAAAGGTTATTAAACATATAAGGTGGAAAGAGAAAGTGTTAGTGGGATTCTGGGCTCAACACTGTTGAAGTCAGCTTTACCCATCCTTCTTGTTGCTAGGCTGTGACTTAGGAAGGATTCTCTTTCATTTGAGCCTCCAGAGAACTAAGCCAGGTGGTTCCCACTAGATGAATGGCCCACTCAGAGGCTGCCAGACAGCATTTAGTTGATAATAGATGTTCCTGAAAATTGTCCATCAGTGGCATACATGTCTGACGTGGACTTGGCCTACACCCAAGGAACATGGCCAAATGTAAGCCACTTACCAGCCTTTTGTAATATACAAAAACCAAAAATGTGGGCCAGGTGAGGTGGCCCATGCCTGTAATCCCAGCACTTTGGGAGGCTGAGGCAGATAGATCGCTTGAGGCCAGGAGTTCGAGACCAGTCTGGCCAACATGATGAAACCCCATCTCTACTAAAAAAATAGAAAAATTAGCTGGGTGTGGTGGTGCACACCTGTAATCCCAGCTACTTGGGAGGCTGAGGCATGTGAGTTGCTTGAACCCGGGAGGCAGAGGTTGCAGTCAGCTGAGATGGTGTCATTGTGCTCCAGCCTGGGTGACAGAGTGAGACTGTCTCAAAAAAAAATAAATACATGAATAAATAAATAAAATAAAAATGTGAAAAGTAAAGAAAACCCAAAAAGATCAGAGAAGAAAAAATGTCAGCAGATGTTTCTAGTCATTGTGACATGTAGAGGTAGGGAGGACCTCCTGTTTCTTTGCATTTTAAAGCAATATTCCTGAGGTCCATTTGACCATTTTGAGGGAGGATATATTTAGAGAAGTATTTTTATTTCACACTGGGAGCACATTATTTGCATTGTGCTCACAGAAGGAACATTTTCTTTTTCCTGCATCCAATTCAAAACACATTGCATCCAAAAGCTTATTTGAAAAATTTTAGAACTCAAACTAAAAAAATTAAAAATCAACAGTTGAACTACGGGGCTACAACGCCACTGTGTAGTTTGGCTATGTTTTGAAGACAATTATCTCCTGGTAAAGTAACATTTTAGGAAGTTTTGCTAAATGTCTCTGACTCATGCCAGTTTTAAAAATTTTAAGTCTAGCAACAAGTGATGACTCACAGATTGGGAAAGATTCTGAGCAAAAGCTTTACCAGAACGTACAGCGTCTGAGAAGGTCCTCAGGCTTTGCACTTTAGAGTCTTTCAATGGTTTACTTTGATTCTCAGATCAACCAGTCTCAGGAAATTTAGGCACTGTGCAGACGATGTCATTCAGCCATTCTGTCAACACAAATTGCAGTGCTGCACTCGGTGGAAAACGTTACCACTGTTGCCAGCCTGGGTGGAAACCTTTGAAAGCACAATGAACTAAAGACTGGCGTGAATGAAAACCCAACTCCTCATGTCATTTTGACAGCAGTAGGTGGTGAGTTGGAGATCTGAGCACCCACACCCTGTGTGCTGCCACACTGAGAGGCAGATGTCCCAGTTGGTTATAGCAGCAGCTTCCGGGAGGTTTGGAAGTCATAAACACCAACCTCATACTGAAAAGCCTAATGCCAGGTTGGGCATGGTGGCTCATGCCTGTAATCCTAGCACCTTGGGAGGCTGAGGCAGGAGGATCATCTGAGCCCAGGAGTTCAAGACCAGCCTGGGCAACATAGTGAGACCCTATCACTACAATAAATAAAAAATTAGCCAGGCATGGTGGCATGTGTCTGTGGTCCCAGCTACTTGAGAGGCTCAGGTGGGAGGATCACTTAAGCCAGGAAGTTGAGGCTGAGGTGTGATCACAGCACTGCAGCCTGGCCAAGAGAGTGAGACCCTGTCTCAAAAAATAATAATACCAAAAGCTCCATTAATCTGGGCATCCCCAAATAGGTCCTCCCCATTGAGCTGTAGATTGGCTGGGGTTTTTTACCATGGTACAAAGTTAGGGCAGAAATTCCCATTCCTGCGTGCATGGTAAGGCTTCAAGACAAGAAAAGAGGGCCTTTGCCAGATGCAGTGGTTTGTACCTGGAATCCCAGCACTTGGGGAGGTCAAGGCAGGAGGATTGCTTGAGTCCAGGAATTTGGGCAACATGGTGAAACCTCACTCTACGAAAAACAACAACAACAACAACAAAAATTAGTTTGGCATGGTGGCATGCGCCTATAGTCCTAGCTAACCTGGAGGCTGAGGTGGGAGGATCACTGGAGACCAGGAGCTCGAAGCTGCAGGGAGCTGAGCCATGATCGCATCACTGCACTCCAGCCTGGATGACAGGGTGGGATCATGTTACAGACACACACACACACCAAACAAACAGCAACAACAAAAAACAAAAACCCCCATGGAAACAGGAAGGAAGCAAGCTGCAAGTATCATGTCTTAGCCTTAATTCTTAGATTGGTTCCCCAATCTATCCATGGCTTCAGTGATCAATGCTTTGAATCTTCTTGCATCCTCAGGCCTAAAGGGGATAACAGGACCAGGAGAGATTGAAGTTAGGCTCAATCTGGCAGAAAGAGTGGGGCCTCAGAGAAGAGGGGTTGAAAAAATTCCCTTGGGTGCCCAGCCTGGTATTATATTTTTGAGTATGAGGTTGGTTTCTATGACTCTTAGAGCTCCTGGAAGCTGCCTCTCAGCGTGGCAGCACACAGGATGGGTGCTCAGAGAAGAGGGGATGGAAAAAGCCCTCCCAGTGGATAGGACAGAACGTGCATCTTGAGCCTGGTGCTGTGTGTGGGAGGAGTGGCCCCCAGGAGCTGAGCTGGAAAGGTGTGTGTGCTTCAGGTGAGAGACTGGTGCTGGAAATTCGACAAGGGTAAAAACTGTCATAGGCTAAGGAGAAAGAAGTGTGGGTCCCAGAAACTTCCTGTGGAGTTTGGCTGCCATTCCCCTTCCCTCATAACCCGTTATCCAGTCACAGCTGATTGATAAGTGGCCTAGGACTCCATGAGAAAACCCCTGAATTCTGTCAATACCTGGGGTCCATACAGTACAGACAATTAAGGAGGTCTAATGGAAGCTAGATTACAAGGAGGGGCATGAGGGGCTCCTTAAAAAATCACCATTGTAGGCTGGGCTTGGTGGCTCACGCCTGTAATCCCAGCACTCTGGGAGGCCGAGGCGGGTGGATCACCTGAGGTCAGGAGTTTGAGACCAGCCTGGCCAACATGGTGAAACCCCGTCTCTCCAAAAAAAAAAAAAAAAAAAAAAAAAAAAAATATATATATATATATATATATAGACACACACACACACACACATACATATACATATATATACACATATATATACATACATATATATACACACACATACATATATATACACACACATACACACACACACACACGTGCACACACAAAAGTTAGCCAGGCATGGTGGTGGATGCCTGTAATTCCAGCTACTTGGGAGGCTGAGGCAGGAGAATGGCTTGAACCTGGGAGGCGGAGGTTGCAGTGGTTGCGGTGAGCCGATATCACGCCATTGCACTCCAGCCTAGGCAACAAGAATGAAACTCCGTCTCAAAACAAAAAACAAACAAAAAATCACCATGGCGTGGACAGAGTCTGGGTAGGGTCAGCTCCTGGGTTCTGGGAAGATGATGATGATGATGGTTCAGGACATGGTGCAAGACTAGATTGAACATGTCCTGTTCTGGCCTCCAAGTGTGTCTTTGCTTAACAAAGGGAAGACCAGTTAACTTGAGAGGATGATAAACTGGAAGCCACAGTGTAGTGAAACCCCTCCTTTGGAACAGTGGGACTCAGGCAGCGGTGTGTGGAGCCAGCTTATCCCAGCTTGCAAGAACTGGTTATACCCATTTCTTTCCAGCTCAGTTCAGTGGCCCCATCTTTATAGCTTGAAATTGGCCATGCTGGGAGTATTTATACCATGGTAATTGGCAAATGCTACACATCAGGGCTCCTGATTTATACAAATTCCTCCCCAGAGAGCTGGTTGTTAGACATTTACCAGCACACCACTGGACTCAGGAGGAAAATGCCCAGAGAGAGGTGAACACAAAGAACATTCCTGCAACAGGGGAGGACAGAGGGGGAATCAGTGGGGGCTGGACATTGAGTCCATGGACAGTGCTTTAAATCCCTTGAGAGAGCCCCATCCCCATCCTTCTCCTGGACTGTGCATCTCAGACAGAAGGAGCCAGTCTGTTGAGATCACTCAATACCCCTGGAGTGAGGAGATAGAAGATGGGGTCAGGGGGACATTTGGGTAATGTAGAGATGAGACCCCACAATTCTGCAGACTACTTCAAATCCACCTAACATCACAATAGTCTGATTCCCAAGCCATTCATTAAATCTTTTGAATATAACTGCTTAATGTATTTCCCACTTCAAGGATGTACTTAAACTATTCTAATGGTAAATATCAAACATTTTAGGTTGTTTCTGGGTTTTGTAGTTGTCATTTATTACTAGTAGAGCAAGTAATAGGTTTTAGCTGACCCTGGATGTGAATATAGTTTAAATCTTGAAAGCTCTAAGTGGGCAGGTGGGGAAAGAACAGTTGTTATTATTATTATTATTATTATTATTATTATTATTATTATTATTATTATTCTGGAGGCAGGGTATTGCTGTGTCACCCAGGCTGGAATGCAGTGGTGTCATCTTGGCTCACTGCAACCTCTGCCTCCTGGGTTCAAGCGATTCTTGTGCCTCAGCCTCCCAAGTAGCTGGGATTACAGGCGTGCACGACTACACCCAGCTAATTTTTGTATTTGTATTTTAATAGAGACAGGGTTTCGCTATGTTGGCCAGGCTGGTCTCAAACTCCTGAGCTCAAGTGATCCGCCCGTCTCAGCCTCCCAGTGTTCTGGGATTACAGGAGTGAGCCACCGTGCCCAGCCAGAACAGTTATTAAATACTTGACTTTATTGTTTTTGTAGAGACAGGGTCTTGCTCTGTCACCCAGGCTAGAGTGTGGTGGCACAGTTATAGCTCACTGTAACCTCAGACTCCTGGGCTCAAGTAATCCTCCCGCCTCTGTCTCCCGAACAGCTGAACTACAAGTGCCCGTCACCGCGCCAGTTTAATTTTTTGTTTTTTATTGTAGAGATGAATCTCGTTCTGTTGTCTAGGCTGAAGTGCAGTGGTGCCCTCACTGCTCACTGTAGCCTTGACCTCCTGGGCTCAAGCATCCTCCCGCCTTAGATTCCCAAAATACCTGGGACTACAGGCATGTGCCACCATTGGCAGCTAATTTTTAATGTTTTGTAGGGATGGAATCTCACTATGTTTCCCAGACTGGTCTTGAACTCTTGGCCTTAAGCAATCCTCCCATACTGGCCTCTCAAAGCACTGGGATTACATCACACTCAGCCCAACAGCTGCCTTTAAATGCAGAGAGCTCCCTTTGAGCATCTTTTCAGAAGGCTGGAGATCCTAGGACAGAATAGATCAGGGGTCCCCAACCCCTGGGCCACAGACCAGTATACCACCGCCTGTTAGGAACTGGGCCACACAGCAGGAGGTGAGCAGAGGCGAGGGAGCATTACCACCTGAGTCCCACCACGATTCTCACAGAAGCACGAAGCCTATTGTGAACTGCGCATGCGAAGGACCTAGGCTGTGTGCTCCTTATGAGAATCTAATGCCTGATGATCTGTCACTGTCTCCCATCACCCCCAGATGGGACCGTCTAGTTGCAGGAAAACAAGCACAGGGCTCCCACTCTTTCTATGGTATAGTGAGTTGTATAATTATTTCATTATATATTACAATGTAATAATAATAGAAATAAAGTGCACAATAAATATAATGCCCTTGAATCATCCTGAAGCCATTCCCACCCTCCCCATCCCTGTCTGTGGAAAAATTGTCTTCCACAAAACCAGTCCCTGGTGCCAAAAAGGTTGGGGACCGCTGTAGATTACCTAAATGATGTTGGGATTATACGACACGGTTGTGATTGGATTATTGTCTGCATTTTTGATAACTTCCCTTGAATAGATGTTTAGCAGCAGTATTACTGCTTCTAAGTTTCGTGTTCGTTTGTGCGGATGTTGACACCGCCAAACTGCTCTTCCCAAAAGGATATCCCAATTTGCACTCATACCAGTAGCATATGTGCAACTGTTTCACCACAGTCCTGCCAATATTGTAATTTTTAAATAGTAGATAATGCAGTCCATGAAATGTGATATGACTGAACTGGCTTTTCCTTTCTCATTTGAAAGGTAGACCATTTTTCATGTCCTGGCTTCCCTGGGTATTTGCTCTCCCAAATGCTGGCTTCTAGACCCCGCACGGAGTCTCATGCCTGTAATCTCAGCGTTTTGTGTGGTGGTGTGCGCCTGTACTCCTACGTACTCAGGAGTCCGAGGTGGGAGGATTGCTTGAGCCCAGGAGGTTGAGACTCTGGGGTGTGTGTGATCACTGTGAGCTGTGATCACACCACTGTACTCCAGCCTGGGGGACAGAGCGACACCTTGTCTGAAAAAAACAAAACAGCGCAACTCCCCCACCCTCCGCGCACACGAAATGCTTGCTTCCACTTCCCCTACCCTGGTGGGGCAGGGGCTGGAACTCCGCAGGCTATGGGAAGGTGCTGGGGTTAGCGGCCCCAGCGGGTGCTCAGTGGTGTTGAGGCCACACTGCCCTGGGCGGTCTGGCCGGGACAGTTCCCGTGCGGGCTCCCTGCGCGCTGAGCCACTGTAGGCGCCTTCCCGAAAATCTCTGAGCAGAGAGGGCCTGGAAAACAGTACTCTCTCACGCAACACTTTTCTTGGATCCATCAGGCCCTGACAGATAACGGTTTGGTTTTCTTCCCTATAGCCGTGTGACTTGTACAAGGGATTTTAGTTGTGTCCTTGGGCACGAAGCCCTAGTCACCTCTCGATTCCCCACCTATGTGGCCCCTATGGCCCCGCTGGTTCCAGGACCTCCCCTCGAAGCCTCACCCACCACCCTGGATGCAGGTGCTGGAAAAGGGAGGAGTCCCCATATTTCACGGGGACTGCCTGTGATGGCCACAGGGGAGGCTCGCCGCCCACCGGCTCTGAGCCTGAGGCCTGCTTCTAGCCTGGCCTTGGGGGCCTGGGCGAAGCGACCCAGCGCGAGGACCAGTCCCCAACCAACCCGCTCCTAGTTCTGGGCGCCTTCCCCAGCAGTCAGATGGGGGCTTCAGAGGCCGGTGCGCGGCCACATGGCCCCGGGCCAGGCAGGGGGTCGTGGGGACGCATCTGCGCTAGGCGCACAGTATTCCTGGGCGCGGGACGGGCGAAGCGCCGTGGGTTCCAAGCTGAGCTGGGTCGGCCCTGCAGCGCCGGAGAGCAAGGCGGCGCAGGGAAGGGAGATGGGGCGGGATGTGGGGAAAGCTGTCGACTGCTTGGATCTCTCCGGCCCGGATGGCGCCAGCTGCCTCCAGCTCAGCCTGCGGAAATCCGAGCTCTTCCCAGCGGCCCGACGGCCCGGGCGCCCCGCAGACCCTGGGCTCTCCCCGCGGTGCCTCCGCCGCCCGCCCCTGCGTCCTGGCCCGGCCTCCACGCCCCTCCGAGGTCCCGGCGCAGCGCGGCCGCCGCCACTCCCCCCACATTCCAGAGGCCGCAGCGCCGTCTCCTTCCTCGCATTCCTGCCCCCGCAAAGGAGTCCCTCCGCCCCGCGCGAGGCCGCGGCGAGGAGGGGGCGCGGCCCGGCGCCTGGGAGCTTACATTCCTCCGCCGCGCGCGCCGCCGAGCAGGGCGCCGCGTCCCCCGGCCCGCGCGTGGCCGCCGGAACGACCCCGGCCCGGCGCCGGCCCCGCCCCGCCCCGCGCCCAGGGGTCCCGGGGCGGGCTCCGGGCTTCGGGCGGACGATGCGGCGGCCCGGCCGGAGCGGCGGCGGGAAGCGGAGGCGGAGGTGACGCGCCAGGGCCGGCGGGCCGGGCCATGCAGCGCTCCAGGGCGGGCGCGGACGAGGCGGCCCTACTCCTGGCCGGGCTGGCCCTGCGGGAGCTGGAGCCCGGGTGCGGCTCTCCCGGTCGGGGGCGGCGGGGGCCGCGGCCTGGGCCTGGAGACGAGGCGGCGCCCGCGCTGGGCCGCAGAGGGAAGGGCAGCGGCGGCCCCGAGGCCGGGGCGGACGGACTGAGCCGCGGGGAGCGGGGTCCCCGGCGCGCGGCGGTTCCGGAGCTCAGCGCGCAGCCTGCGGGCAGCCCACGGGCCAGCCTGGCGGGGTCCGACGGCGGCGGCGGTGGCGGCAGCGCCCGATCCAGCGGCATCAGCCTGGGCTACGACCAGCGCCACGGCAGCCCGCGCTCCGGTCGCTCGGACCCGCGTCCCGGTCCCGGGCCGCCTTCGGTGGGCAGCGCCCGCTCCAGCGTTTCCAGCCTCGGCTCCCGGGGCTCGGCCGGCGCCTACGCTGACTTCCTCCCGCCCGGCGCCTGCCCCGCGCCCGCTCGCTCCCCGGAGCCTGCGGGGCCGGCTCCCTTCCCGCTGCCTGCACTCCCGCTGCCCCCTGGCCGGGAGGGCGGCCCAAGCGCGGCCGAGCGGCGGCTGGAGGCGCTCACCCGGGAGCTGGAGCGGGCGCTCGAGGCGCGCACGGCGCGGGACTACTTCGGTGAGCTCGCTCGGCCCGGCAGTTCCCTGCGCGCATGGCTGGGGTCCGGGGTTCCGAGACTGCCTCGGGTAGGCGGCCGGATCAGCGGAGGAGAGCACGGGGCTGGCTGGGGGTGCAGCAGTGCACGGGGTTGGGACGAGGAAGGTGCATCCCCTGGGGACTGGGGAGCGCAAAGGGTGAGTGAGTGCGCCTGGATCCCCAGCAGCGGCTTCACCCCTGCCTCTGGGTCCCCCGACACACGAGGGGTTCTGGCCGAGTGAGTTGATGTGCGGTTCCTAACTTAACAGGCAAGTCAGGTTCATGGGCACACTGAGCCATTTTCTGATAATTTTTTCTTCTTTCTTCTTTTTTTTTTTTCTTTCTTCTTTTTTTTTTTTTTTTGAGACAGGGTCTTCCTCTGTCGCCGAGACTGGAGTGCAGCGGCGCGTCCTCGGCTTACTGTAGCCGTCGCCTCTCAAGCTGAAGCGATCCTCTCGCCTCAGCCTCCCGAGAAGCTGGGACTACAGGTGCACACCACCATGCCCAGCTTTTCTTCTTCTTACTTTTTTTTTTTTTTTTTTTTTGTAGAGACAGAGTCTCCCTATGTTGCCCAGGCTGGTCTTAAACTCCTGGGCTCAAGCGATCCGCCCTCCTCGGCCTCCCAAGGTGCTAGGATTACAGGCTTGAGCCAGTGCGCCCGGCCTGATCTTTTCTTCTTTGCGTTTGGTGCTCTCATTCTATCTGATCCTTTCATGCTTCGTGATGAGCAGAAAGGGGTGCTTCCCCGTCTGCCCCGCCACGGTATGGGTGTGGACAGCAACCGGGAGATGGAGTGGCCCAGGTACCACCGGATACCGCCTGACCCAGGCTTTGGTGATGGTAGCGGCTGGAGAGGGAGACTGTGTGAGGGAAGAAAAGCCCACTTTGCGGGAGAGGGGAACCGTGCCAGTCACACGGGGCTGCCCTCGCCCGGACTGTGCTGTGGACATAGGATGTTTCCTAAAGGAATCCTGCTGCAGGTGCATCTGCAAAGCCCAGCAGCCTCACAGCCTCCACTTCCCAGTGTGGCCCAGGCCCCCTGATCTCTAGTTCTTGGGACAGCTCTTGGGGTGAGATTGTGAGCGGGGCAGAGGTATACTGTGGGGCCTGGGGCGAGAACTTCCCAACCCGCCTTCTGTATTAAGCACCTGGCTTTGGTGGATGGATGGTCACCATGCCTGGGACCGTGGCTGTCCTGGGGTTTGTGTCTTTGAGCGTTCAATGGTGTCAGCAGCTCACGGCTGCCCTGAACTGGATCTTTTTTTTTTTTTTTTTTTTTTTTTTTTGAGACGGAATCTCGCTCTGTCGCCAGGCTGGAGTGCAGTGGCGTGATCTTGGCTCACTGCAACCTCCGACTCCCTGGTTCAAGCGATTCTCCTGCCTCAGCCTCCCCAGTAGCTGGGATTACAGGCATGCGCCACCACGCCCAGCTAATTTTTGTATTTTTAGTAGAGGCGGGGTTTCACCATGTTGGCCAGGATGGTCTTGATCTCCTGACCTCATGATCCGCCTGCCTCAGCCTCCCAAAATGTTGGGATTACAGGCGTGAGCCACCGTGCCCGGCCCTGAACTGGATCTTGAGGGGTGAGGAGTCTGTCAGTGAGGGGCCAGGTGGGGGCATTCCAGAGAGAGGGAAGAATGAGCAGAGGAGGCCAGGCGGGATGAGAGATTGCCCCGCTCTTCCCCCTGGGGTTGCAGCCCAGAGGGCTCAGGTGGTCGAGGGCATATGTGGGCTAAGAGGAGGTGCGCCTGCTTTGGGATGGAGAGCGCCTCCCATCTGTGAGGTCATGGTGAGACTCTGTGGCTGGGCAGGTCTCGTGGCGCCTGTTGGATGGCCTGGGAGCAGGGAGATGTGCCAGGAGCTGTCATCTCCCGTGTCAGGCAGGTGCCAGGAAGAGAGGCTGGGGCTGAGTTTTGAAGGGCATGCTTTCCAGTGCCCTCTGCAGGGGAGAGTGCCCATTTCCCGGCCCCTGTGTACTGCAGAGCCCGGGGGAGGGGGGTGTTCTGTAGACACCCCTGAATCTTTATATGATATAGGGGTGGCTGAGGTCCCAGGCAGGTAATGTGGAGATGATACAAGAAGGTAGGGTGTGGTGGCACATTTTTTTTCTGAGGAGCTGCTAGGCCGGGTGCGGTGGCTCACACCTGTAATCCCAGCACTTTGGGAGGCTGAGGTGGGAGGAGCACTTGAACCCAGGAGTTCCAGGCTGCAACGAGCTATGATCGTGCCACTGCACTCTGGCCTGGATGACAGAGTGAGATCCTGTCTTTTCTTTAAAAAAAAAAAAAAAAAAAAGCTGCTCAGATCGGGCTGTTGTAGCGCCCTGAGAGTGTTAGAGGAGTGATGATAGACCTTTTTTATTTTGTTTTCAAGAAAAACTAGAAATTGAGATTCAGTAATACTTTCCTGATTTTGTTTACTTTATTTTTTTAAACTTTTTTGAGACGGAGTCTTGCTCTGTCGCCCAGGCTGGAGTGCAATGGTGCGATCTCAGCTCACTGCAGCCTCCACCTCCGGGTTCAAGTGATTCTCCTGGCTCAGCCTCCCCAGTAGCTGGGATTACAGGTGCGTACCGCCATGCCCGGCTAATTTTTGTATTTTTAGTAGAGATGAGGTTTCACCATGTTGGCCAGGCTTGTCTCGAGTTTCTGACCTCAGGTGATCCACCTGCCTCGGCCTCTCAAAGTGCTGGGATTACAGGTGTGAGCCACCATGCCCGGCCCACTTTCCTGATTTTAAAAAATATGGGCAACTATTTGTTTGAACTATATGGTTCTGATGATATTTGACTTTGTTGAGCTACAAAAGTGGCAGTTTCATAGAGTTCAACCAGAATAATACAGCATTTTACAAAAGAAAATCTGCAGGTAGCATAAGCTCGAGTGATCTCTGATAAACCTCGTCCTCAGAGTGTGGCTTTTTTGTTTTAAATTAATTTTTTTTTTTTTTTAGAGACAGGGTCTCACCCTCTCACCTAGGCTGGAGTGCAGTGGTGAGATCAGCGCTCATTGCAGCCTTGAACTCCTGGGCTTAAGCAATCCTCCTGCTTCAGCCTCCTGAGTAGCTGAGACCACAGGTGTGCATCACCATGCTCGGCTACATTTTTTTATGTTTTGTAGACCTGAGATCTTGCTTTGTTGTCCAGGCTGGTCTTGAACTTCTGGATTCAGGCGATCCTCCCTCTTTGGCTTCCCAGTGTTGGGATTACAGGCGGGAGCCACTACGCCTGGCCAGAGCTTTTTTTCTCTCTGTCCAACCCCTCATCTCTTCCTGTCCTTGGCCCTGGTACCAGCTGACCTCTTGGTTGCTCTCTGCCATTCACTGATGTCTTTGGAACTTTCCCCTCTCCCCTCCCCAAGTTCCGCTGCCATTAGCCAGCCAACAGCCTTGGGCTTCCGGAACCTTTTCAACTTTGGTGACCTCCTTGCCTTCTCTTCAGCCACCCACTCCCAGGGCCACACCGTTTTCCCTTCACTCTAGCAGTCCTTAGTGGTAACTCCAGTCTGCTTCTCAGCAGTTCCTCTCATTCCTGTAATCGCCGTCTGCCCAGCAGAACCCCGACTCTGAGCCCATGCTTTGACCCCCTCTGCGGCCACTATACCAGGCTGGGAAGGGCTCTGAGGAACCCCTCAGGACTGTGGGAGGTTTGTCATCCTCACCACGCAGGTCTTCCTGTCACCACTGACACCCTAAGCCTTTGTCAGTTTGTTTTTTTTTTTTTTTTGAGACAGAGTTTTGCTCTTGTTGCCCAGGGTAGAGTTCAATGGTGAGATCTCAGCTCACCGCAACCTCCGCCTCCCAGGTTCAAGTGATTCTCCTGGCTCAGCCTTCCAAGTAGCTGGGATTAGAGGTGCCCACCACCACACCTGGCTAATATTTTGTATTTTTGGTAGAGACAGGGTTTCACTGTGTTAACCAGGATGGTCTCATCTCCTGACCTCGTGATCTGCCCACCTTGGCCTCCCAAAGTGCTGGGATTACAGGCGTGAGCCACCGCGCCTGGCCGCCTTTGTCAGTTTCCTCTCTTATTCTCTCAACAACCTTCCTCCCTCCTGGGACCCCTACCTTTGCTTCTGACTTCCCTTGGAATCTTGAGGTCAGCAGTTGTAGTCTGTCTTCACCACCGTCCTGCCCCTTCCCTGTAGGTGCTCCAGTCCATGTGGGTCTGACTCTCCTGCCGTCTGAGAGGACAAGGGTCCTTCCATCACCAACCTCCACCTCCTGCACCTTCAGTTCTCCTCTTTTCATTGGCCCCTTCCCTTTGTTTCTTTTTAATTTTTTTTTTTTAGAGACAGGATCTAGCTCTGTTGCCAGGCTGGAGTGCAGTGGTGCGATCACAGCTCACTGCAGCCTGAACTCCTGGCCTCAAGTGATCCTCCTGTCTCAGACTCCCAAAGTGCTGAGATTACAGGCATGAGCCACCAAGCCCAGTCCCTGCCTGCTTTTTTTTTTTTTTTTTTTTGAGACGGAGTCTTGCTCCGTCACCCAGGCTGGAGTGCAGTGGTGTGATCTCGGCTCACTGCAACCTCCGCCTCCCAGATGCAAGCGATTCTCCCACCTCAGCCTCCCAAGCAACTGGGATTAGTGTCCACCACCACGCCCGGCTAATTTTTATATTTTTAGTAGAGATGAGGTTTCACCATGTTGGCCAGGCTGGTCTCAAACTCCTGGCCTCAAGTGATCAACCCTCCTCGGCCTCCGAAAGTGTTGGGATTACAGGCGTGAGCCACTGCGCCTGGCCCCTGCCTGGTTCTGAAGGCATCTGAACTGGCTTTCTCTGCCCAGTGGTAAAGTGAGGCATGGGAGGCCCTGGGCAGAGCAGGGGGTACCCAGGAAAGCAGGAAGGGAGATGAAGACCCAGAAAGCTGGGTGCAGGCTGCATCCTAGAAACCAGAGAGGAAGAGGTGGGCCACCCGATAGCAAGATCAGAATGGAAAGTCCATAGATGGGGACGGCTAGGAGATGACCAAGTGTGGGCCATGTTCTCTTTGTTGACTGAGGAAAGGCGGGGAATGGGGCGGCTGGTGGAGGAGGGAGAGGAGGTTATTTAAGGAGAGAGATGAAAGGAGAAAGCAAGAAGGTCGGGGGAGGGCAGCATGGCCTGGAGCTGGCAGAAGATTTACGGTCCAGAGGGCAGGTGGAGGCCATCTTCATGCCCTGTGTGGCATGGGAGGCCCTGGGTGACCCTGTAAAGGGGACACGAGATGTATGGGCTACTTGCCTACTGTCTGGGTTTCCAGGAGGGCTGGCCAGGGAGTGCCCTGAGGCTAGAGCCAGGCTTGGCCCTGGCGTTGCTGGTCACCCCTCTCCTTTCCACCTTCCCCGCTGCATGCTGAGTACACAGGTGTGGTCCCTGATTCCATCCACTGATCATAGGCACCTGCACAGCAGCGACCCTCATGTCTGTCTGCTTCCTTTTTTTTTTTTTTCTTTGAGACGGAGTCTTACTCTGTCGGCCAGGCTGGAGTGCAGTGGCGGGATCTTAGCTCACTGCAACCTCCGCCCCCCAGGTTCAAGTGATTCTGCTGCCTCAGCCTCCCAAGTAGCTGGAATTACAGGTGCCTGCCACCTCGCCTGGCTAATTTTTGTATCTTTAGTAGAGATGGTGTTTCACTATCATGGCCAGGCTGGTCTTGAACTCCTGACCTCCTGATCCACCCACCTCGGCCTCCCAAAGTGCTGAGATTACAGGCGTGAGCCATTGTGCCTGGCCTCTTCTTTTTTTGGAGACATCTCACTCTGTTACCCAGGCCGGAGTGCAGTGACATGATCATAGCTCATTGCAGCCTCAAACTCCCAGGCTTAAGTGATCCTCCTGCCTCAGACTCCTGAGTAACTGGGACCACAGGTGCATGCCACCATGCCTGGATATTTTTAAAAATTTTTGTAGAGATGAGGGTCTCGCTGTGTTTCCCAGGCTAGTCTGGAACTCTTCGGCTCAAGTGATCCTCCCACTTCGGCCTCCCAAAGTGCTGGGATTACAGGCATGAGCCACTGCACCCAGCCCGCTTCCTTATTTCCTTCAGGCCTTTGCTCAAGTATCACCTGGTGAGTGAGGCTTCTGTGAATACCTGGTTTAAAAATCACACATCCTTGGCCGGGCATAGCAGTACCTGCCTGTGGACCCAGCTTCTTGGGAGGCCGAGGTGGGAGGATTGCTTGAGCCCAGGATGTCAAGGCTGCAGTGAGCTATGATTACACCACTGGACTCCAGCCTGGGCAACAGAGCGAGACTCTCCTAAAAAAAAAAAAAAAGGCCGGGAGCAGTGGCTCACACCTGTAATCCCAGCACTTTGGGAGGCCAAAGTGGGTGAATCACCTGAGGTCAGGAATCCATGACCAGCCTGGCCAACATGGTGAAACCCTATCTCTACTAAAAATACAAAAAATTAGCCAGGTGTGGTGGCACATGCCTGTAATCCCAGCTACTCGGGAGGCTGAGGCAGGAGAATCTCTTGAACCTGGGTGGTGGAGGTTGCAGTGAGTCGAGATCACGCCACTGCACTCCAACCTGGGCGACAGAGCGAGACTCTATCTAAAAAAAAAAAAAAAAAAAAAAAATCCTGCATCTAACGCCGTAGCACTCGTCTCTGCCTGACGTTATTTGACTGCTGTTCTCTGCCACCTTCCACTCGATGCAAGCTTCTTGAAGGTGGGGACCTGGGTGCATTGCAGACTGAGTGGTGCCTGACCTTAGGGGCATGTGACTCATCTGTGTGCTGACTGACCAAGAGAATAAGTGGACCCTGGCATACAGAGGAGGACAGAGTGGGTACAGAGGAGGACAGAGTGGGTACAGAGGAGGACAGAGTGGCTGCAGAGGGGTGGTGACTGCCCCTGAGTGCCCATGTGGTCTTCATTCTTTGTGTCTGGGTCACAAAACATGTTGAAGAACAGGATTTGGTTCACAAACAGCATGAAGGATTTTCCCTCAGTCCAAGAGCAGGCCATGGATGAAAGGGCTTAAAGCAACTGTCTTGGTATAAAGATACCATGATAGGCTGGGTGTGGTGACTCCACGCCTGTAATTGCAGCACTTGGGGAAGCCCAGGCAGGAGGATTGTTTGAGCCCACCCTGGGCAACTGGGCAACACAGCAATACCCTGTCTCTACAAAAGAAAAAATCAGCCGTGCGTGATGGCATGTGCCAGAAGTCCTAGCTACTTGGGAGGCTGAGGCTGGAGGATCGCTTGAGCCTAGGAGGTTGAGGCTGCAGTGAGCTGTGATTGCACCACTGCACTCCAGCCTGTGGGACAGAGCGAGATCCTGTCTCTCTCCCAAAAAAAACCTAAAAGTGGTTGGGTGCAGTGGCTCATGCCTGTAATGCCAGCACTTTGGGAGGCCAAGGCAGGAGGATCGCTTTAACCCAGGAGTTTGAAACCAGCCTGGGCAACATAGTGAGACTCTGTCCCTATTTATAAATCAAAAACCAAAAGAATCTATCAGAACAGTTGTGATGGACAGCTTTGATTAGCTCCGACTCTGCCCTGGGTGCTCGGCCAAGCCCTTGAATCCTCAGACAGCAGCAGCGGCAATCCCTGGGTCGTGGCCACCCTGATGGTGCCCATGTTGGTCATCAGTAATCGAGTGATGTTGGCCTAGGAAAGTTAGCATCCCCCAGGTCAAGCGGGTGGGCGGTGTCAAGACGGGGAGTCCGTCGGTGTGGCATAGGCTGTGGCGCTAACCCCTGCTCTCTCCTGCCTCTCCTCTCCTAGGCATTTGCATCAAGTGTGGGCTTGGCATCTACGGAGCCCAGCAGGCGTGCCAGGCAATGGGGAGTCTTTATCACACTGACTGCTTCACCTGCGACTCGTGTGGTAGGTAACCTCGTGCCCTGGGTAGCTCTGTGAAGGGGACCTGCCACATCATCCCCATTCCCCTCAAACTGCCTTGCCCCTGAGTCCAGGCAGATGGACCACCTGGCTCTGGCCCAGGCTGGGCTGTGGAGGACTCTGTCTGGGGAGGAGGCATGGGGCCCCTGAGGAGCCTTTTGCTGGCTGTAGGACAGGGCTGCCCCCTGGTCGTCAGCTGTGGATCCTCTGTGCCACGCAGGGCACTAATGCGCTCATGTCACCCAGCTGCCTGGGAGCAGCGTCAGAAGCCCATGAAGGACCTTCTGCCTGTCTGGACATACGACTAATATTTCTTTTTCCTGCTATCTATTTTTGTTGTTGTTGTTGAGACAGAGTCTTAATCTGTTGCCCACGCTGGAGTGCAGTGGAATGATCTCGGCTCACTGCAGCCTCTGCCTCCCGGTTTCAAGAGATTCTCCTGCCTCAGCCTCCCAAGTAGCTGGGATTATAGGCACACGTGCCACCACGCTCGGCTAATTTTTTTTTTTTTTTTAGGTAGAGATGGGGTTTTACCATGTTGGCCAGGCTGGTCTCAAACTCTTGAGCTCAAGTGATCCGCCTGCCTCGGCCTCTCAAAGTGCTGGGAGTACAGGTGTGAGCCACTGCGCCTGGCCTACAATTTATTTTTGATCATAATTTTACACCCAACATAAACTATAAGTGTTATAGTTTAACCTAGACAAAGTTATAAAAAGAAAAAAGGAACTATAATCCAACCACCCTAATAAATATCCACTCTTGGTTTGCCCACTGTTCTTCCAGACCTTGCCTTAATCAGACATCTTTTATGTATTTGCACGTTTTTTAATTTTAATTTTATATTTTTTTTTTGAGACAGTCTCGCTCTATTGCCAGACTGGAGTGTAGTGGTGTGATCTCAGCTCACTGCAACCTCCGTCTCCCTGGTTCAAGCGATTCTTCTGCCTCAGCCTCCCGAGTAGCTGGGATTACAGGCACACGCCACCACTCCCAGCTAATTTTTGTATTTTTTTAGTGAGATGGGATTTCACCATGTGGCCAGGATGGTCTCGATCTCCTGACTTTGTGATCCGCCTGCCTTGGCCTCCCACAGTGCTGGGATTATAGGTGTGAGTCACCTTGCCCGGTAAAATACCCTAGAAACTTCTATCTTGTACCCCCACTTGTTTTTTGAGACAGAGTCTCGCTCTCCCCGAGGCTGGAGTGCAGTGGCGAGATCTCGGCTCACTGCCACCTCCGTGTCCCAGTTTCAAGTGATTCGCCTGCCTCAGCCTCCCGAGTAGCTGGGACTATAGGCGCGCAACACCACGCCCGGCTAATTTTTTGTATTTTTAGTAGAGATGTGGTTTCATAGTGTTAGTCAGGATGGTCTCGATCTCCTGACCTCGTGATCCATCTGCCTTGGCCTCCCAAAGTGCTGGGATTACAGGCGTGAGCCACCGCGCCTGGCCCTATCTTGCCCTTTTTCAGTTGATCCCTGTATGTCCCCCATCACATTTGCCCAACTGGTATTCTGATTTCTACCACTGTAGAAAAGTTTTGTCCATTCTAGAACTTAACATAAATGCATTCCTATAGTGCATACTCTTTAATGGCTGATCTTGTGTTCAATGTCTTTTTTTTTTTTTTTTTTTTTAAGAAGCAGGGTCTTATGTCTTCATCCAGGCTGAAGTGCAGTGGCCCAATCACGGCTCACTGCAGCCTTGACTTCCTGGGCCCAAGTGATCTTCCTGCCTCAGCCCCACAATGAGTAGTGGGACTACAGACACGTACCACCACGACTGGCTAATTTTTTTTTTTTTCCTAGAGACAGGGTCTTGCTATGTTGCCCAGGCTGGTCTTGAACTCCTGGGCTCAAGCGATGCTCCTGCCTCAGCCTCCCAGGAGGCTGGGAGGCTGAGGCAGGAGGATCACTTGAGCTTGGGAGGTTGAGGCTGCAGTGAGCCATGATTGTGCCATTGCACTCCAGCCTAGGTGACAGAGCGAGACCCTGTCTTAAAAAAAAAAATACCAGCCTGGCCAACATAGTGAAGCCCCATCTCTACTAAAAATACAAAAATTAGCCAGGCACCTGTAGTCCCAGCTACTTGGGAGGGTGAGGCAGGAGAATCGCTTGAACCCGGGAGTCAGAGGTTGCAGTGAGCCAAGATCACGCCACTGCACTCCAGCCTGGGCGACACAGTGATACTCTGTATCAAAAAAAAAAAAAAAAAAAGATTCATTCCCGAAAATTTGCTGTGAATTCAACTGATCTTCAAGTGAATGTGTTTATTAACCAACACATGTATTTACATGAGCAAAATATTTATTCATATATTTGTTTTGGCAACCTTTTTAAATAACTCTGTCGACAATGTGTTCTGTTTAATTTTTTTCTGAAATTTTGTTATTATAACAATAACAACATAATATTAAAGGGAAATTTAGAAAACCACCCATAACCCAGTGTCTCATCTGTTGGAGGAGGGTGCTGAGAGCTGGAAGCACGGCTCCATCCCTGGTCCCCAGCGTTCCAGGGACCCCTCTCAACCCTCACCCTTGCAGGGAGACGACTCCGTGGGAAGGCGTTCTACAACGTGGGTGAGAAAGTGTACTGCCAGGAGGACTTCCTGGTGAGTCCAAGCTGTGCCCTGGCAGTGCCAGGGGTGGGAGGTGGGGCAGGGACCCTCATTCTGACTCGAGTGGAGACCTGAGGCCAGGAGGCAGGTGCTAGCTGGGCCGCGAGTGCCCCTTTGTCACACAATGTCCTGGATCCTGTGTCCCCTCCCAGTACTCCGGGTTCCAGCAGACGGCCGACAAATGCAGCGTGTGTGGACATCTCATCATGGAAATGGTGAGCCCCTGCCCCAGCCTCCTGGAGCCCCTCTGACGTGGGTGGAGTCTGAGGACTCTACCGTCTCCCCTGCTCCAGACCTGCCAGGGGTTCAGGGCCAGAGCCTCTCCCAGGGCGGTGCTGAGCCTCCTGCCCGCGCTGACCCCTCAGTGTGCCCCGCCCACAGATCCTGCAGGCCCTGGGCAAGTCCTACCACCCAGGCTGCTTCCGGTGCTCCGTGTGCAATGAGTGCCTGGACGGGGTTCCCTTCACCGTGGACGTGGAGAACAACATCTACTGCGTGCGAGACTATCACACGTGAGTTGCTGGTGCTGTGGAGCAGGCGGGACTCGGGCCGTCCTCCCTGGCTCCTCTGGAAGCATTTTTTTCCTGCTGGACTGACTGCCCTTTGTTCTTGGCCTTTTGCCTTCCGCCTCCCCTTGTACACCTGGGCTTGGGGCAGGCATGTGTCTCTGCCTGCATCCCCTCTCCTGGTGGTCCGGCCACCAGCTGTCTTTTGCCTCTTCTCTCCCTATCGTGGCCTGCATGCTTCTCTACTCCTGGCACAGGGGACCCTCCTGGCTGCAGTACCCACCATCTTTCCCCCTCCTCCCCTCCATCCCCTGCCAGGCCAGGCCTCTTTCAGCTGGGGCAGGGGCTTGGGATCTCTGCAGCCCCCTTCTCCTGCCTGTCTGATCCCTGATCTGTTTCCTCCTACCGTGACTCCAGGTTTATTCCTGGGAGCTCTGGTTCTGAGCAGGGCCTTCCGTGGGATTGGAGTCCTGGGCAGAGGTCCCTGGTACTCAGGGTGAAGCCAGGTCTCACAGTGGTCCTAGCTAGTGGTGTCCCAGACCTGGACATTAAGAACTCACAGGAAACATGGGGGCAGATGGCAGAGCAGAACCTGAAGGCATCCTGGAGGAGGTGATTGGGTGGAGATGAAATGAGCAGTCAGATAAGAGGCCAGGGCCGGGCATGGTGGCTCATGCCTGTAATCCCAGCACTTTGGGAGGTCGAGGTGGGTGGATCGCTTGAACCCAGGAATTTGAGACCAGCCTGGGCAACATAGTGAGACCCCATTTCTATTAAAAAAAAAAAAAGAAGAGGCCAGTACAGGAAGGCATGGCAGAAGCTGTTCCCTGTCTGCCCCGAGGTGTGCACACAGGGAGAGAGGGCCTGATACTTGGGCTACGTCAGTGGGTTCCTGTGGGTGCCCCTGTGCTTGTGCCCTTGGCCTCTGGTCACTCAGCTGATCACTTCTGGTTTCCTTTATTTCTCTAGGGTTTTTGCACCAAAATGCGCCTCCTGTGCCCGTCCTATCCTCCCTGCACAGGTAGGAGCCACTCACCCAGAGATGATCAGGTGCCTGGCCCAGCCGGCTGCTGTCCTGTCTAGCCTGGGTCTAGCCCAGGTCTTGGGCGACAGTGGGAGGGATGAGCAGGTGCTTCTCCGCAGATCTTTCAGGGCTGAGGGATGTGTGTTGTGCTTGTGTACGTGGGGTACAGCTGTCCCCTGGCACAAGGTCGAGGGAAGTGGTGGCCCCTGCCGCTCAGCTGCCCCACTGCCAGCCTCTGCTCCATTCTCCATTGATGGAAGGGCCGTTCCCTGGGTCTTCTCAGCTCTGCAGGCTGAGGTGGGGGTGCTGGGGGAGCAGATGAGAGATGGACGTGGTCTGTGCGGGAGCCACCCATGGGTGCTACAGCTCTCCTGGCCTGGGGTCTTCCCACAGTGCTGGCTCTGTCCCAGGCTGGTGTGCCTGGCAAAGCAGAACTGGCAGTGCCCTTTTGAGACTCCAAGGAAGTGAAAACAGGCCGGGCACAGGGGCCCACGCCTGTAATCCCAGCACTTTGGGAGGCCAAGGTGGGATGATTGCTTGAAGCCAGGAGTTTGAGACCAGCCTGGGCCGCCTAGTGAGACCCCATTTCTACAAAAAAAATAAAAAATTAGCTGGGTGTGGTTGTGCATGCCTGTAGTCCCAGCTACTTGGGAGGCTAAGGCAGGAGGATTGCTTGAGCCCAGGAGTTTGAGGCCGCAGTGAGCTGTGATTGCACCACTGCACTCCAGCATGGGCAACAGAGAGAGACCCTGTCTCTTAAAAAAAAAAAGGATCAGTGAGGTGAAAATAATGTCCACATCCATTGACAAACACGTGACACTCTTGTGGGCCTTTGTGCGTACTGTGGGCTGTGATCGTGGAGGACGCCTAAGGCCCGCATGTGTCTGTGTGTGTGCACCTGCTGGAGCCTGTCCCGCCCCACAGAAGCAGCGTGGCAGTGCTCCCCGGGGCGGGCGTGCACCTCCGCCGGGACAGGAGCGTGGTGTGTGGGAGTGTACACTCACGCAGTTTGCCTCCAGTCCCCACATGCTCATCGTGTGTGAACTCCTTCTCTTCCTCCAGGGCTGCGAGACAACCATCCGTGTGGTGTCCATGGACAGAGACTACCACGTGGCATGTTACCACTGTGAGGTGAGCCTGGGCCCACAGGAGGCTGGCAGCTGGGGCAGGCCTCCTCCCACAGGGCTCTCCTCTCTGGGTGTTCTGTGGGCTTACCTTATCAAAATTTTAGTTTTGCCAGGCTCGGTGGTTCATGCCTGTAATCCCAGCACTTTGGGAGGCTGAGGAGGGTGGATCACCTGAGGTCAGGAGTTCGAGACCAGCCTGGCCAACATGGTGAAACCCCGTCTCTACTAAAAATACAAAAATTAGCCAGGCGTGGTGGCGGGCACCTGTAGTCCCAGCTACTCAGGAGGCTGAGGTAGGAGAATCGCTTGAACCTGGGAGGCAGAGGTTGCAGTGAGCCGAGATTGTGCCATTGCACTCCAGCCTGGGCAACAAGAGTGAGACTCTGTCTCAAAAAAAATTTTTTTTTAAAATTTTTATTTATTAGAGACAAGATCTCACTCTTGCTCAGACTGGAGTGCAGTGGCACGATTATAGCTCACTGGAGCCTCAACCTCCTGGCTCAAGCTATCTTCTTATCTCAACCTCCTGAGTAGCTATCACCACAGGCTCGCGCCGCCACATTCAGCTAATTTTGTTAATTTTAGTAGAGATGGGGTTTCATCATGTTACCCAGGCTGGTCTTGAACTCCTGGGCTCAAGCGATCCACCTGCCTTGGCCTCCCAAAGTGCTGGGACTGCAACGTGAGTCACCGCGCCAGCCTCACCTATTTTATGGCGTCTACCCCATTCTACCTGTCCTTTTCCTGCCCCGCAGAGAGTGCACTGGGGGAGGGAGTGAAGGCAGGTGCTCCCTGAGCAGCTGGAGGAGTCAGGGTTGGGGGCCTGGGTTCACAGAGGTGGGCTGAGTTGAGTGATGGTTAGGCCGTAGAAAGGACTGGATTTGGCAAGTGTCTGGATGTGGGGGGTTGGGGGTTGGGGGTTGGGAGGTGTTCATGAGAACCCCAGCAAAGAGTGAGGGCAGGGGGAAGAGGGGATGGGATGCTCTCATTTTTGGTAGCTGGAGATGTCCAGTAGACCTGTAAGTGGGCGGGGGTTCAGCGACCCTGCCGACAGCTGTGGGAATTTGGGGTCACTGGCGTGTGGCGCTCTCTTCTCTGAATCTTTTTTTTTGTTGAGATGAGTCTCACTCCGTTGCCCAGGCTGCAGTGCAGTGGCACTATCTCAGCTCACTGCAAGCTCCGCCTCCTGGGTTCAAGCAATTCTCCTGCCTCAGCCTCCTGAGTAGCTGGGACTACAGGCACCCACCACCACACCCGGCTAGTTTTTGTGTTTTTAGTAGTGACAGGGTTTCACCATGTTGGCTGGGCTGGTCTCAAACTCCTGACTTCAAGTGATCCACCCGCCTTGGCCTCCCAAAGTGCTAGGATTACAGGCTTGAGCCACCACACCAGGCCTTCTTTTCTGAATCTTGGCCCTGGGAATTCCAGTTGCCTTGGCCTCCCCAGATTCTCAACTCAAGGAGACCACGGGGCTCCCCTGGGCAGCTGGAGCAGTCTCCAGGCAGTCAGTCGGGTGTTGTGGGGTACACTTCTCAGATTTCCCCTCTCTGAGAGATGATGGGCCTCCCTGGTCTGTTGTCCGGGGTCTGAGAGTCACTGTCATCTGTTTAGCCTGTTGCTCTCGTTGTTAAAGGTGGGAGGGGAAATCCAATTTCTCTTCCTCCGTTCTGGCGGGAAGCAAGGGTCCCATGATGGACACAGGGACGGCAGCTGAAGCCAGGGAGCAAGTGAGGTCTTCCAGGATGAGTTGGAAAAGAAGGAGTGGGGGTCAGGATAGCTCAGGGAGCACTGTCATTTAAGGACACACACAGGCGAAGTGGCCACAAAGGGAGACTGAGGAGGCCTGGGCAGGAGAACCAGGAGGCTGCCGGCGACCGCGCCCCAGCAAGAGCAGAGCAAGTGGCGGTGGGGAATCTGCAGTAGCAATCAGGGATCCCTTGGGTGACAAGGTCTCCTGGGTGCAGGCGAGTGGCCCCATGGGAGCACCGATTGTGTCAGGGTACCCAGGAGGGAGGACAAGGAGCAGGGATGGTCTGCAGAGGGGCCAGGGCTCCCCTCCAGCCCTAACAGGACCTCCGCGTCCCTCCACTTGCTGGGCCGTCCTGTGGACTGTGCGGTCCCCTGCAGATTGTCCAGTACCGAGGGCAGCAAAAGGTTGACGCTGAGAGTGAGAGCGGGGCAGGCGGCTGGTGGTGGTGCTGTGCTGCCGCGAGGCTGTTGGATGGGGACTGATACCTCCGGGACCCCGCACTCCTCCCTGGCCTGGTGTGCAGCGGTCGGTAGCAGGGCCCAGCCAGTGGCCTGTGGTGGGACAGACAGGAGACCAGGGAAAGGAGTGATGTGGTGTCACTGCAGCAGCCCAGCTCCCTTCCCTGCGCAGGGCGGGCCAGGTGTTGGTGTCAGGGGCTCTGGGTAACGGGTCAAAGCCGCCAGCATTCCAGCCCCGAGCCCGCAACGGTAAAAACTGCGAGATAGGGTACTTGAAGCCCGCCCCCTGCTTCCCAGGTCCTCTCACCATTGCCTCTTCAGACCACCCGGGGGTGGCATTCATCCCTTCACCCTGCTCCAGGGACCCCTGTGTGGTGGGAACTGGTGGACACTTCCTTCCGGGCCCCCCAGCAGCTTGGAGCACAGGGCCGCTCCCTCCTCCACCCACTTGCTTCACTTTGCCCTCGGGGCTGCCAGGTTGTGGTTGTCTTCACTTTCGTTTCTCCTTGAGTCTCTTCTGCCCAGGCCTGTTCTCTTCCCACCTCCTCATGGAAGGTTCTGCTGTTTGCCGTCTTCTCTTTTCTAGTGATCTGCACCCCCTGGAAGAGGTGGTCTCCTGTTTTGTCTTTAAAAACCATCACGTGACCGGGCGCGGTGGCTCACGCCTGTAATCCCAGCACTTTGGGAGGCCGAGGCGGGCGGATCACGAGGTCAGGAGATCGAGACCATCCTGGCTAACACGGTGAAACCCCGTCTCTGCTAAAGATACAAAAAATTAGCTGGGCGTGGTGGCGGGCGCCTGTAGTCCCAGCTACTCGGGAGGCTGAGGCAGGAGAATGGCGTGAACCCGGGAGGCGGAGCTTGCAGTGAGCTGAGATCATGCCACTGCACTCCAGTCTGGGCGAGACTCTGTCTCAAAAAAAACAAAAACAAAAAACCCCATCACGTTTGGCTGGGTGCGGTGGCTCACGCCTACAATCCCAGCACTTTGGGAGGCCGAGGTGGGAGGATGGTTGTGAAGCCAGGGGTTCAAGATCAGCCTGATCAGCATAGCAAGACGCCATGTCTACAAAATACAAGGGGAAAAAAATTAGCCGGGCATGGTGGCACATGTCTGTAGTCCCAGCTGCTTGGGAGGCTGAGGTGGGAGGACTGCTTGAGCCCAGGAGTTTGAGGCTGCAGTGAGCTGAGATCGCACCACTGCATTCCAGCCTGGGCGACAGAGTGAGACCCTGTCTAATAAACAAAAAACAGGCCAGGCACGGTGGCTCATGCCTGTAATCCCAGCATTTTGGGAGGCCGAGGTGAAGGATCACTTGAGGTCAGGAGTTCTAGACCAGCCTGAGCAACATGAAACCCCATCACTACAAAAAATAAACAAAATTCACAGGGCGTGGCAGGGTGCGCCAGTGGTCCCAGCTACTCAGGAGGCTGAGGTGGGAGGATCACTTGAGCCCTGGAGGTCGAGGCTGCAGTGAACTGGGATCCAGACACTGCATTCCAGCCTGGGTGACAGTGAGAGACCCTGTCTCAAACAACAACAAACGAATAAACAAAAAACACCCAAACCATCAGGTTTTTATGCTGACACCCATGTTGACTGCTCAGCCCTCTCCCCGCAGTCTGACTTATATCCAGTGACTTCCTCTTGGATACCTGAGAGGCAGCTCCAGTCTCCAGTGCTCCACGCCGGGCTTCCCATACCCCCTCTGGCAGAGGAAGAGTCTTTTTTTTTTTTTTTGAGATGGAGTTTCGCTGTTGTCACCCAGGCTGGAATGCAATGGCAGGCTCTCTGCTCTCTGCAACCTCTGCCTCCCGGGTTTAAGTGATTCTCCAGTCTCAGCCTCCCAAGGAGCTGGGATTACAGGCATGTGCCACTATGCCCGGCTAATTTTGTATTTTTAGTAGAGACAGGGTTTCACCATGTTGGCTGGGCTGGTCTCGAACTCCTGACCGAAGCGATGATCCAGCCGCCTCAGCCTCCCAAAGTGCTGGGATTACAGGTGTGAGCCCCTGCGCCCGGCGGAAGAGTCTTCATGTTGTTTTGCGGCACCCTGCAGATCTGCCCCTCCCCTCCGTCCCTCCCCCGTCCCGTGACCTCTGATGTGCGCTTGTCTGCTGACTCTGGGGCTGGGGGCTGTGTTCTTCCCTAGGACTGCGGGCTGCAGCTGAGCGGGGAGGAGGGACGCCGTTGCTATCCCCTGGCGGGCCACCTACTGTGTCGTCGTTGCCACCTGCGGCGCCTCCAACCTGGGCCTCTTCCCTCACCCACTGTGCACGTCACTGAGCTCTGAGCAGGGGAAAACCCGTCCCTGGGCCGGGGTGGGTGTGGGTGTGGAGGGAGGGCCCGCGTGGGTGGCCCTGGTCAGCGTCAGGGGAGCTCCCTCCAATCAGTTTCCCACCGAGCTGCTGTCTGCAGGGGCCGGACCCCCGCGTGGAAGCTTCTATTTATTCACCGTCTGTGCCTGCTCAAGTCACTTCCCTGCGGGCCCTGCCTCCCACCCACCCCATCACCAGCTTTCCACTTGGAGGCCCCCTGTGCCCTGCAGCCTCAGGGTAGGCCGTGGGTCACCAGGCTGGAGAGGGCCCCTGCCTTGGCCAGGGGTGCGAGGTGACCCGGCTGCATTGCTGGGTGGGAGCTGCTGTCTGTTGTTCAGGGGCCTGGCCCCCGCCCTCCCCCCCGACCCCGACCTCGCAAAGCGCACTCCCGGGCAGGGTGTGGTCTGGAAGGCGGGGCTGGCGGGGACATGGGTGTTCCTGCATCTCCTAGCGCAGTTCCTGCTGGTGGGTGGAAGGGTGCCTGGTTTAGGCGGGGTCCCAGGAGGGGGTGAGGGGTGACACCCTTGGGGAGGGGGCCTGCAAAGGGCACTGCCTGTGGCCACGTGGTGTCTGTGGGAATTGGTCCTGGGGACTTTGATGGGTGTTTGCGGCCCCAGTTGCCGCCCTGCTCCCTCTTCCAGGGCTCCTGGCTTGGGCCCCCCGACCCCCCTGCTCAGCTCGGGAAAATCCCCGTGCGGCTCCAGCCCCGGGTCACGCTCAGGAGCGATGAGAGGGGCGCCCTGGCCACGCTTCAGGAAAGCCTGTGTCTGCGCGCGGGGCAAGGGGCTCCACGACAAAAGGACAAGATTTGACTTAAATTAAGTTTTTCCCTTGAGGATATTTTCATTTTCTTTAAAAGAATATAATTTTCTTCTAAGATCTTGGACCAGCCTTGTTATTTTTAAAGCAAATGCCGGCAAACTCACAAGTGTCTAGTTTGTCTGTTACGGAGCTGGTTTTCAGGTGGTAAGAACCTTGTGGTTTCAGGACTTTTGTCCTGAAATTCCTCTAAAACTTCGCCACGCGTGTCCACCTTTCAGACTTTAGGGTAGTGTGGGGTTCCGTGTGTGTCCGGGTGTTAAGGGCGGTCGCCCCATGAAATGCAGTGTGGAGGTCCCTCCGTGCTCCCCGGGACACACTGACGGGAATGTGGGGTCTGGACATGGGAGGCCCTGGTCCTGATGCGGAATCCCCAGGGGTTCAGGGGACATCTGGACTGAAGTCACTCGCCCCTGGGAGAGCCTGGACCCACCTCTTGGCTGCTGCTCTCCCCTTCCTCCCCCACCGTCAGGTGTGAGTTCTGTGAATCACTCGCGGGGCTGGGCTAGGCTCCGGGAACCAGCAGGGCTGTCCAGGCCGAGCCCAAGGGAACAAACACCAGGAGGCGCCCGCAGGGAAGTGGCGGCTTCGGAGTCCAGCAGGGCCGAGGCATGGCGCGGGCGCCACCTGGTGGGCTGAGCCGGCAAGTACAGGGGTGGTCAGGGAGCCTTAGCCAGGGACTTACACAGCGTGGAGAGCGCTGCATCTTAGAGTGGGGCCTTCAGCAGGACCAGGGGCCACTTCTTGGAGGAGGTGATCCCACTGGGGCCAGAGAGTAAAGTCCAGGCGTGGAGGCTCCGGTGCTGGCTCTCTCCTGCTAGCTGAGCTGCTTTTTCTTTTCTTTTCTTTTTTTTTTTTTGAGACGGAGTGTCATTGTGTCACCCAGGCTGGAGTGCAGTGGCACAATCTTGGCTCACTGCAGCCTCCGCCTCCCGGGTTCAAGCAATTCTCCTGCTTTAGTCTCCCGAGTAGCTGGGACTACAGGCGCACGCCACCACGCCCGGCTAATTTTGTATTTTTAGTAGAGATGGGGTTTCACCATGTTGGTCAGGCTGGTCTCCAACTGCTGACCTCAGGGGCGATCCACCCACCTCAGCCTCCCAAAGTGCTGGGATTACAGGTGTGTACCACTGTGCCCGGCTTTTTTTTTTTTTTTTTTTGAGACAGGGTCTCGTTCTGTCGCCCAGGCTGGAGTGCGTTGGCACAATCTGGGCCTACTGCAACCTCTGCCTCCAGGGTTCAAGTAATTCTCATGCCTCAGCCTCCCCAGTAGCTGAGACTACAGGTGTGCCCCATGACGCCCAGCTATTTTTTTTTTTTTTTTTTTTAAAGACAGAGTCTAGCTCTGTCGCCCAGGCTGGAGTGCAGTGGCGTGATCTGGGCTGACTGCAACCTCTGCCTCCCACGTTCAAGCATTCTGCCTCAGCCTTCCAAGTGCTGGGATTACAAGTGTGCGCCACCAGGCCTGGCTAATTTTTGTATTTTTAGTAGAGTCGGGGTTTCACCATGTTGGCCAGACTGGTCTGGAACTCCTGGCCTCAAGCGATCCATCCGCCTTGACCTTCCAAAGTTCTGGGATTACAGGCGTGAGCCACTGTGCCTGGCCTTACTTTTTGTATTTTTAGTTGAGAGGGGGTTTCAGCATGTTGGCCAGGTTGGTGTCAAACTCCTGACCTCAAGCGAGCCCACCTTGGCCTCCCAGAGTGTTGGGATTACAGGCTTGAGCCACCGTGCCTGGCCTGGGCTCCTTTGCCTTCTAACTGGTCAGTTGCAAAGCTGTCCTCTGAACTGTCCTCTCTGCTTCCTCCCTCAAACCTGCTTTGAGCCGGGTTTCTCCTTGTTGCCAACCCGGTCCTTCTCCTCCCCTTCCTTTGCATGTGCCATGGTGGGCCCTGTGCTTATATCCATGGGGTTGCTTCACTGAACCCTGCTCCATCCCGGTCACCATGCACGCTCCTGCCAGCTGGCCTGAGTCATCACAGCTTGGAGTCCCCCCAACCCCACCCAAGTAACACACTTTGTCAAAGGTCGCAGTCAAGGGACTGCATAGGCCCTTGGGGCAGTGGCCTCACCAGGCCACACTCTGCCCTTTCTTTCTGGGCCCCTGGGCCCCGCATTGCCTTCTGTCAGGGCTGGTGGCCACTGCTCCACCTCCTCCCCCGGAGCTGTGCATGGCAGTTCCCTCCGTGGGAGCCACTCTCCCGGGGTTTCTTCCTCTATGAAGAAACCTTGGCCTCTATGAAGTCAGGCCCCAGTTGTGACACCTCACTTGACACCCAGAAGTCTTGGCCTCTGCTCTCCAAGCTCATTTGCCAACAGCAGTATCTCCATTTCATGCCCAGGGGTGACACTGACCCCATGATTATAGAGATGGAGGATGCTGTGTGAGAACTGGGCTGAGCCATGCCAGTGGCCTGTGACCCTCCAGCCCTGGATGCCACCCCCCACCTGCCCAAGGGGACCCCCACTGATGTGGTCTCTGCTGACACCTGTGCCTGTGCCTGGGGTCCCTGTCATCCTTCCCTGGTCTGAGTGGCAAGTCTCCTGCCATCCCTGTCCCCGCTATGCGGTGAGCTCTTCAGCTTGGGCCCGCCTGGTGGCTCACGCTACTCTCCACCGTGCCTGGATTAGGGCGAGTGCTGAGGCTGGAGCTGACCCTGCCCTGGCCTTCAGGGTCTTGGCTTAGTTCCACCTGCACTGGTCCAAGTCCAGCCTGGTTGCCTAGTGAAGGATCCACAGTGGGTACATAAAGGGCCAAGCGCTGTCCACGTGGACACATCCTATGTGGGCGTGAGTGCTCCCTGCAATCCCCAGACAAGCCTGCCTCTCAGCGGGGCTCAGCTCAGAGACATAGACCCTGGAGGGCTGAGTCTGCCTGTGTGCGTGTGTGTGTGCATGTGTGTGTGTGTGAGAGAGAGACAGGGATGGGGGGAGAGTGTGTGTATCAATGAGAGAGACGGAGAAAGTCGTGTGTGAAAGGGATTGAATATTTCAGAAAATGAATGAGAGAGATTGGGAGAGATGGTGGGAGGTGGAGTGGGAGAGAGACCTGTTGTTTAAGAGGGAGACTGAGTGACTCCGAGAATGAGGGGGAAAGATACGGAGACAGGATAAGCTGCAGAGAGAGAGGGAGAGAGGGATTGAACTGGAGCGAGACCAACAGAGCCCTGACGCTGGGATTTGGGAGGATTTGGTGGGTTCTCAGTGACCCCACTGAGGCCTGACCCACCAGTGGAAAAGGCTCACCTCCTGTAAGTGACCACACTGTGGGGTGTAATTGTGTGTTTGTTTGTGTGTGTGTGTGTGTGTCTGTGTGTGTGTTGGCGTCGCCCTGATGGCCTCTTGGAGGGTCCTGGGGTGGGTGGGTCTTGGGCATGGGGTGCCCTCTGCCCTCATTCTTTCTTCATCCGGGCTCCCTGCCCCTGTTGGGGTGGGAAGCACAGATGTCAGCTTGCTGAGCTGCAGGTACCATGACAATCCCAAGTGGAACTGCTCTTGGGGGGCTGTGTGGGGAGGGGCCACTGGGCAGGATTTATGAGACCTGGGCAGAGGTGTGGGGAGCAGTGTGGGCCAGAGGGTGACTGGGGGTTGGGGTGAGTTGGGTAGGGTGCAGCTGTGCTCATCCCTCCCACCCAGCCCCACCCTGAGGCTGGTCTCTAGCTCGTGAGCAGAGGCCGAGAGAAGGCCCTTCCCCATCACGGGGTCCTGTCTCGTCCGGTCTGGCAGCCCTCATCTGGCCAGGAGGCCAGCAAGGACTTCCGGTGCCACACTCGGGAGGGGTGAGGGCTTTGCTGGCTGCAGGGTTAGGAGTAGGCGCAGCCTGTGGGGCCCAGGAGAACCTTGGGGTGGGGATCAAGAACAGGTCTGGGAGAGGGGGGAGCATCAGGGCCACCTGCAGCCTCCACCCAGCCCAGCTCTGGAGGCTTTGCCCCCACCCCGCCCCCATGGTAGGCGTGTTCCCTAGAGGCTGGTGGGGACCTGGGAGAGGGGCATGTGCACACATTTCATGGGGATGATGGGGGACTCTGGGAGCCAGCCTGGGTGGGGGCTCAGAGGTGGGAGGGGCCCTGAGGCCTGAGGTGGTGGAAGGAGCTCACCTATCTCAGGCCCAGGCCCTTGCCAGGTTCCTAGTCCCTGGCCGGATACCCCAGGGTGGCCTGGGATCCTGGAGAGTGCTCAGGAAACTCAGGAGGAGTGTGGACGCGGCTCCTCTCCTTCCACCCACTTCCCTGGCCCTGAGGGCATTGCTGGGCCACCATCCCAGACCTGGGGCATGTGTCACAGGGCTGCCAGGAGGGCATAGGGCCCAAGGATTCCCCAGGGATGCCAGCCCCCCTGTGGGCCCTCAGGACTGGTAGCCCTGGGCCCCCTGGCGCTTTGTAGGGAGGTGCTCAGCAGTGATGGTTGTGTGCCTGTCACACCCACCCACCTGTGCCTCCCCCCACCTGCCACGCCCATTGTCCTACACCCAGCGCACACTCCTCTCCACGCTGCGCACGTGAACCCGCCCGGGTCACACACCTGCCCTGCCATGGTGACAGGACTGTGTGGGATCTCTGCCTCCCTGCCTGAAGTTCCTGCCATTGGGACCTGTCACAGGCACACAGGACACAGCTGGCTCACCCTCTTCTCTGACAGCACCTGGGCCATCCCTGATAGTGATCAGCCCTGCTGAGGAAGGGTTAGGGTGGGCTGCAGGCTGGAGGCCAGGGAGAGGCCCTGGACCGGGCCTGGCATTTACTCACCCTCCTCCCATCCCACACTGTCCCGGAGCCTCCATCTCCACCTGAGCCAGCTGGGTTGATGCGGATTTCCAGGCATCCTCAGCGGGACCCATGGCCTGGGGTCACCACCTTCCTGAGCTGCGTGGATCTCAGCCAGGACTTCTCGTCCCTGAGAACAGATTGGGGCTGGGAGTCCCAGCCCGTCCCTGGACCAGCCCTGCCATCAGCTTGCCCAGCCTAGTTCCCTTTCTCTTCTGCGCTCTGAATGTGCACTCCGCGTGTTCAGATGCTCATGGTTTCTGATGAGAAGTTGGCTGTGTCTCTCACGGAGCCTCTCTCGGAGGTGATGAGTGACTTTTCTCTTGCTGCCGTCAAGATTCCTGGCTGTGGATTGGATGGATGGGAAGCTCTGTCCCTGAACAGCCCTTGTGACTATGGGGCTGTCCTTCCACAGTGTGCACTGAGGGTGCAGGCCAAACCTTTTAAAGAATAAACAGAAAGAAATCGGCTCTTTCACTTCTTGCAAGTTGGTGAAAACAGACTCTTCCAGGGAATTTTAACTTTTTATCATCCTATTTACTCTGGAAAGCCTTGTCTCGTGTTTTAGAGCTTGTAGGGTTTAATAAAACTAGTTAACAGCCAGGCACGGTGGTTCACGCCTGTAATCCCAGCACTTTGGGAGGCCGTGGCGGATAGGTCACTTGAGGTCAGGAGTTCGAGACAATCCTGGCCAACATGGCGAAACCCCGTCTCTACTAAAATTACAAAAACTAGCCAGGTGTGGTGGTGGGCACCTGTAGTCCCAGCTACTGGGGAGGAGGCTGAGGCACGAGAATCGCTTGAACTGGGGAGACTGAGGTTGCAGTGAGCCGAGTTCACACCACTGCACTCCAGCCTGGGTGACAGAGCTAGACGCTATCTCAAAAATAAATAAATAAATAAATAAATAAATAAATAAATGAATATAAATAAAACTGGTTAAAAATTGAGTCTCCCTGAAGTAGGTGCTCTTTCCCGTGAAAACTACTTTTTTGGTTTGGTTTGAAGGTAAGAAAGAGCGGGAGAAACTTTGCTCTTTTCATTTAATAATTGTGTTCAGCCTGGCCGGGCGCGGTGGCTCACGCCTGTAATCCCAGCACTTTGGGAGGCCGAGGTGGGCGGATCACCTGAGGTCGGGAGTTTGAGACCAACCTGACCAATATGGAGAAACCCTGTCTCTACTAAAAATACAAAATTTTTAGCCGGGCATGGTGGCGCATGCCTGTAATCCCAGCTACTCGGGAGGCTGAGGCAGAAGAAGCGCTTGAACCCGGGAGGCGGAGGTTGCAGTCAGCCGAGATCGTGCCATTGCACTCCAGCCTGGGCAACAAGAGTGAACTCCGTCTCAAAAAAAAAAAAAAAAAAAAAAATTGTATTCGGCCTATGATGAAATATTTTATTATTAGATAGCAGTGTCACTAATAAGTTTTAAGTTGTCCAGAGTTAATTGTGAATATCAGAACAGGATTCTTATAACAAAAGCAGTTGTCTTAAGATGAATGGCTCATATTTGGGTGCAGTATTTGATGCCCAAAAGAACAAACATAAACCAAAAAAAAAAAAAAAAAAATTCCAGACTGTCCCCTTTGGATGCCAGTTGAATCTGTGTCTTGTGCCCCCTGAGGGTCTGCCCGGTCACATCCCCTTGTCTTCTCTAGGGTTCACGGGGATCCTTCTCATCCTCTTCTAGGTACCAGGTTCCATTAGTTTTGTCTGTCAGTCTTGTCACCAGGGAGCTGGAGACCTGGAGGGGAGCCCTGATGTCTGGGACAGTGCTTGTCAGTGGATGGGCTTTTGCATAGGGGGATGGGGTAGGGAGTGAGTCATTGCATTATAGACTTGGACTAGGTGGATGCTATTTTTCATGGTGGTGGTGATGGGAGAAGCTGTTGGGTTATTTCACAGAGGAAGCCCGAGCTCCCTGCTGAAGATGATAAATGATGCACAGATTTCAATCCATCCTACGGCTTCAGCCTCCAGTCCTGGTCCCACACATCTCCTGGAGCAGAGCCTGATTCCCAGCCTCTGTAGCTGGTTGAGGAGCAAATAGGTTTCCCTGTCCTGACTCCACCTTGGAGCACCTTCCCTTGAGACCCACCAGGCTCTCTTTCAGTCACAGCATCTTCCTCCTGCTCCATGTGGTTGAAATCTCAGGTCCTCTAAGGATCCCTCCTCATTCTCTGTTAGTGTGAGGTGGGACTTTTTTTTTTGTTTTGAGATGGAGTCTTGCTCTGTCGCCCAGGCTGGAGTTCAGTGGCAGGATTTCAGCTCAGTACAGCCTCGGCCTCCCGGGTTCAAGTGACTCTCCGGCCTCAGCCTCCCAAGTAGCTGGGATTACAGGCACCTGCCATCACTCCCAGCTAATTTTTTATATTTTTAGTGAATACAGGGTTTCATCATGTTGGCCAGGCTGGTCTCTAACTCCTGACCTTAAGTGATCTACCCGCCTCAGCCTCCTAAAGTGCTAGGATTATAGGTGTGAGCCACTGCACCTGGCCTGTGAGGTGGGAAGTTTCAATACTCCCTTAGCCTTGGTTTGGTCACCAGAAGGAGGGGACATGAGTGAAGGTCCCAGTCCACCCTATGCAAGCAGAAGCCTCTTTGGTTTTAGTTTTAAAGGTGCATTGACCCATGTACCTTTGCATGGACATGTTCTTATTTGGGGTTACCTTTGTGTTGACTTTGTGTGGCCAGGACCCTGGAGATGAGGCCAGGATGGCCGACTCCAACCCCTTAGCTGCTTCCTTGCCCTGTATGGAGCAGCTCAGCCTGGGATGCAGGAGCAGCTGTGTCCCTCCGCTCCCGCCAGGCCTCTCCCCCTGCCTTCTGGGACTGGAAGTTCCTAGGAGTCCGGAAGTGCTGAGCTGCAGGAGGCTTCTCATGGCCCCAGGACACACCCATCACCCCATCTATATTGAGATGTTATCTAGAGAGACGCCTGTAGTAAAATCCGCTCTGTGACGGTGGTGTATAAACATTTTCTGTGCAAGGACCTTGCCCTCCTTTTCAAAAAAGTAAGTATGACTCCCACATGAAAATTTTCTTCTACAACACGACATACGTTCATTGTGGTACATTTAGGAAATTTAAATGATTTATTTCTTATAAAACATCATCTGTTTTTCTACTGGACCTGGCTTTTATAAATCATGCGGTGATAAATAATATGGCAGTTAGAGCTGGGTGCACTTGGCTCCTGCCTGTGGTCCCAGCTGGCTGGGAGGCAGAGGCAGGAGGATTGCTTGAGGCCAGGATTCCAGGCTGCAGGGAGCTATGACTGCCAGTGCACTCCAGCCAGGGTAACACAGCGAGACCCTGTGTTAGCCTGTTTTCACGCTGCTGATAAAGACATCCCCAAGACTGGGAAGAAAAAGAGGTTTAATTGGATTTACAGTTCCACATGGCTGGGGAGGCCTCAGCCTCCCACATGGCTGGGGAGGCCTCCCACCAAAAGGCACTTTCATGGTGGCGGCAAGAGAAAAATGACAGAGATGCAAAAGCAGAAACCCCCGATAAAACCATCAGATCTTGTGAGACTTATTCACTACCATGAGAACAGTGTGGGGGAAACTGCCCCCATGATTCAGATTCTCTCCCACTGGGTCCCTCCCACAAAATGTGGGAATTAAGGGAGTACAGTTCAAGATGAGATTTGGGTGGAGACACAGAGCCAAACGATATCATTCTGCCCCTGGCCCCTTCAAATCTCATGTCCTCACATTTCAAAACCAATCATGACTTCCCAACAGTCCCCCAAATTCTTAACTCATTTCAGCATTAACCCAAATCCAGAGTCCAAAGTCTAATCTGAGACAAGGCAAGGCCCTTCCACCTATGAGCCTGTAAAATCAAAAGCAAGTTAGTTACTTCCTAGATACAATGGGGGTACAGGTATTGGGTGAATACGGCCATTCCAAATGGGAGAAATTGGCCAAAACAAAGGGGTTACAGGACCCATGCAAGTCCAAAATCCAGCGGGGCAGTCAAATTTTGAAGCTCCAAAGTGATTTCCTTTGACTCCATGTCTCATATCCAAGTCACAGTGATGCAAGAGGTGTGTTCCCATAGTCGTAGGCAGCTCCACCCCTGTGGCTTTGCAGGGCATAGCTCCCCTGCTGGCTTCTTTCATGGGCTGGCATTGAGTGTCTGCGGCTTTTCCAGGCACCTTGTACAAGCTGTCAGTGTATCTACCATTCTGATGTTTGGAGGATGGTGGCCTTCTTCTTACAGCTCTACTAGGCAGTACCCCAGTAGGGATACTGTGTTTGGGCTCTGACCCCACATTTCCCTTCTGCACTGCCCTAGCAGAGGTTCTCCAAGAGGGCCCCTCCCCTGCAGCAAACTTTTGCCTGGGCATCCAGGCATTTTCATACATCTTCTGAAATCTAGATGGAGGTTCCCAAACCTCAATTCTTGACTTCTGTACACCCGCAGGCTCAACACCACATGGTAGCTGCCAAGGTTGGGGTTTGCACTCTCTGAAACCATGGGCTGAGCTGTACCTTGGCCCCTTTTAGCAATGGCTGGAGTGGCTGGGACACAAGGCAGCAAGTCCTAGGCTGCACACAACATGGGGACTTTGGGTCCAGCCCACAAAACCATTTTTTGCTCCTAGGCTTCTGGGTCTGTGATGGGAAGACCAATGACATGCCCTGGAGACATTTTCCCCATTGTCTTGGGGTTAAACATTCCCCTCCTTGTTACTTATGCAAATTTCTGCAGCCAGCTTGAATTTCTTCTAAAAAAATGGGTGTTTCTTTACTGCATCGTCAGGCTGCAAATTTTCCAATTTTTTATGCTCTGTTTCCCTTTTAAAATGGAATGTTTTTAAACCCAAGTCACCTCTTGAACGCTTTTCTGCTTAGAAATTTCTTCTGCCAGATACCCTAAATTATCTCTCTCAAGTTCAAAGTTCCACAAATCTCTAGGGCAGGGGCAAAATGCCGCCAATCTCTTTGCTTAAACATAACAAGAATCACCTTTGCTCCAGTTCCCAACAAGTTCCTCATCTCCATCTGAGACCACATCAGCCTGGACCTTAGTATTCATATCACTATCAGCATTTTTATCAAATATTAAACAAATTTCTAGGAGGTTCCAAACTTTCCCACATTTTCCTATATTCTTCTGAGCCCTCCAAACTGTTCCAACCTCTGCCTGTTACCCAGTTCCAAAGTTGCTTCCACATTTTCGGGTATGTTTTCAGCAACACCCCACTCCCAGTACCAATTTACTGTATTAGTTTGTTTTCATGCTGCTGATAAAGACATACCTGTGACTGGGAAGAAAAAGAGGTTTAATGGGACTTGTAGCTCCACATGGCTGGGAGGCCTCAGAATCATGGCCTGAGGCAAAAGTTATGTGGTAGCGGCAAGAGAAAATGAAGGGTGCAAAAGCGGAAACCCTCGATAAAACCATGAGATCTCGTGAGACATATTCACTACCATGAGAACAATATGGGGGAAACTGCCCCCATGATTCAAAATATTTCCCATTGGGTCCCTCCCACAACACGTGAGAATTATGGGAGTACAATTCAAGATGAGATTTCGGTGGGGACACAGAGCCAAACCGTATCAGACCCCGTCTCTACAAAAACAAAAACAAAATAAAAAAAAGTAGCTACGTGTTTGGGCCTGGCTTTCATTATTTACCAAGGATCAAGACCTGAACATGAAAATGGCAGGCCAAGGGTTCCTGCCTTTGGATGCACATGGCCACCTTGCCCACTAGAACATCTGTGCCAAGCAGTGTTCCCATCAATCATAGGAAAATACCATTTCCCGCATCCTTACCAACCCTAGGTATTGCCAATAAGAAAACAAAGTCTGTATCAATTTGATGAAAATAATTTGAATGTGTGCATTTGATGAGCTGTGAGAATGAGAATCTTTTGCATGCATTGGCCATGGGCTTCCCTTTTGTGAGTTGCCTGTGAATGTCCTTTTCCCAGTTTACTAGTTTGGGATTGAATATTCTTACACATTTATTTGGTGAAGAACTTTTATTTCAAATTATGAAAGAAAAAAATACTTGCTAGAATTCTGATTTGAAGTGCTTTCAAATTCTGTGTTAATTTGGAGCTGACACCCTTTAATATTGAGTCCTGGCTTTGAGGGTCTGGTGCGTTTCCTCCATTCACTGAAGTTTTATTTTACATCTCTCAGTAAAGCTTTATGGATTAGGGTCTTCAGAAGCCTTACTTGTTTTTCTGGCTCTATTTTCTTGTCCAGAAACTCCACCACTGTGCTAAAGAGACAGTGGTGGAGGTGCTGGGCGTGCTGCTTTTCTCCTGGCTCTAATGGGAAGGCCAAGAGGCAGGTCAGGGTCAGACTCCACCTTGAGTCTGGCATTGGCTGTTGGCATCATGAGGACCCCACGTATTGTACTTTGATAAAGTTAATAAATGGAATTCTCCTTTACCTCAAGAATGCCTTATGTGTTGTGTGTAGCATGCACCTTCTTGTGGAAACAGCTTCACATGTGAGAGCCCTAGCACGCAGGTGATTTCAGGACCACCCCCAGCCCATCCCGTGGCGCAGGATCCAGGCAGCTGCAGTGCAGGCGAGGACCCCTGGCTGGGCGCGGTCCTGTGCGGGTCCCTGTGCGGTGCAGGCGTCCATGCACTCTGAGACTCTCAGCCTGCTCTGTGGCCTGTCACGTTGTGTGTGGGGCAAGACGCTTGGGTGCACATATGTGAGAATGGGACTGTGTGTGTGAGTGGAATGCGCTGTTGGGAGCGTGTGGGGTGTGTGTGTGTGGCACCTGCGGTTGGGGTGTGTGACTGTGTAGGGTGGGGATCTGTGATTATATGAATATGAGGGTGTGATTGTTGCTGGGACTGGGCACGTGGCTGCCTCTGTCTCTGCCTCTGTGTCTGATAGAGACAGGAAGAGATGGGGGAGGCCTGGTGTGGGGGCCCTGCGGGACAGGGCCAGGGGACCCTTCCTCACTTTACGCCATCTGAGGACCCTCCCCAAGGGGAAAAGCCAGCTACAGTGGAAAAGCACTGGCAGAGTGGGCTTCGTCCTGGGGAGAGAGGCTGGGAGACTGCAGCTGAAAGATGTGGGCTCCAGGAGGGCCTCAGGGGGCTGAGCATCAGGGTCAGGGAATAGAGGGCCTGGGAGCAGAGGGCGGCCCTCCCTCCATCTTCCTTCCTTCTCTGGACTTCAGAGCACTGTGTCCCCTTCCCACTTGCACAGCTGCAGGTGGAGCCAGCTGGGGGGCTTTCTAGAGGGAGTGGGGTCCTCTGAGGGCCAAGAGGGCCAGGTCCCTGAGGACCTGAGGCCCCTCTGGGCCTCCCAGGGCTGGGCCTGTGGCTCTGATCTGCTTTGTCCTGGGAGGGACATGCTCAGTGGTGGGGTTTGTGTAGCTGTCACTCACTCACCTGCCTGTGCCCAGCCACTCACCTCTCACTCCCATCAGCCCCACCCAATACACACGTGGTTCCTCAACTACCATGAGGGGAAGTTCCTGCCTGTGTCACACACATCCATCCCACCCACCACACTGCAGGTTACAGGACTGCCCCACAAGTGCCACCATGCCCGCATGAGGTTACCTGGCACACAGGTATCCTCACCTGCATGACATGACCAGATCGTGCACTTTCTATGCCAGGGCCAGGGCCAGGGCAAGCTTGCACCTTCAGCCTTGGGGACACTGGGGGTGGTGGTGGCTGGAGGCCAGGGAAGTCACCAGGCTGGAGACATCATCTACCTCCAGGAGAGGGTTGATATCAGACATCTCCCGTGCACCACTTTAAGCCACCTCAGCCTCACCTGGGAATCTGGCTGCAGGTGAGTCCCAGCAGTGGACCAGCATGGGACCAGCAGTTCCATGAAGCTTTAGACCATCTCTAGGCTTAGGAAGGGGCTCCCTTGTCATCACTTGGTCCGGGCTGCACGTCTTGTGACCAAGGGCTCTGGACGGCAGATGCAGCCAGCCAGAGCGTGGGGCTGAGGGGCCTGGGCACAGGAGGGATGTGAGGGCTTCCCTGCACCCCCATGGCCACCATTTCAGAGGGAGGACAGCAATTGTTTGGGTTTGTCCTGTGAGTGGTGGCAGAGAGCAGGGCCCTGGGCAGGTCCAGGGCCAGACAGGAATCCTGTGCTGCAGCCTCGGGGCCACAAGGGCACAGCATGGGGCCGGTGTGGGGGTGTTCCCTGTGCCAAACACATTGGCAGGAGGTGCCCTGGGGTCAGTGGGTATGTCAGAGCTGTCAGGCCTCTGAGCCCAAGCTAAGCCATCATATCCCCTGTGACCTGCATGTATACATCCAGATGGCCTGAAGTAACTGAAGAATCACAAAAGAAGTGAAAATGGCTTGTTCCTGCCTTAACTGATGGCATTACCTTGTGAAATTTCTTCTCCTGGCTCATCCTGGCTCAAAAGCTCCCCCACTGAGCACCTTGTGACCCCCACCCCTGCCAGCCAGAGGACAACCTCCTTTGACTGTAATTTTCCACTACCTACCCAAGTCCTATAAAACAGCCCCACCCCTATCTCCCTTCGCTGACTCTGTTTTCGGACTCAGCCCGCCTGCACCCAGGTGAAATAAACAGCCTTGTTGCTCACACAAAGCCTGTTTGGTGGTCTCTTCACACGTACGCGCGTGAAATTTGGTGCCGTGACTTGGATGGGGGGACCTCCCTTGGGAGATCAATCCCCTGTCCTCCTGCTCTTTGCTCCATGAGAAAAAGATCCACGTACAATCTCTGGTCCTCAGACCAACCAGCCCAAGGAACATCTCACCAATTTTAAATTGGGTAGGTGGCCTCTCTTTACTCTCTTCTCCAACTTCTCTCACTATCCCTCCACCTCTTTCTCCTTTCAGTCTTGGCGCCACACTTCAATCTCTCCCTTCTCTTAATTTCAGTTCCTTTTCTGATAGAGACAGAGAAGACGCGTATTATCCGTGAGCCCAAAACTCTGGTGCCAGTCAAGGACTCGGGAAAACAGCCTTCCCTTGGTGTTTAATCACTGTGAGGACACCTGCTTGATTATTCACCCACGTTTCAGAGGTGTCTGATCACTGCGGGGACGCCTGCCTTGATCCTTCACCCTTAGTGGCAAGCACCACTTTTTGGGGGGCAAGCAACCCCCCACCCCTTCTCTCCGTGTCTCTACCCTCTCTTTTCTCTCCACTTTCTTGTGGGGAAACACTCCCCACTCCTTCTTCACTTTCCTCTGGGTGGCAAGCATCCCCCACCCCTTCTCTCCCTGTCTCTACCCTCTCTTTTCTCTCCACTTTCCAGGGGGACAAGCACCCCCCTCCCCTTCTCTCCGTGTCTCTACCCTCTCTTTTCTCTGGACTTGCCTCCTTCCCTATAGGCAAACTTCCACCCTCCATTCCTCCTTCTTCTTCCTTAGCCTGTGTTCTCAAGAACTTAAAACCTCTTCAACTCACACCTGACCTAAAGCCTAAATGCCTTATTTTCTTCTGCAATGCCACTTAACCTCAATACAAACTTGACAATGGTTCCAAATAGCCAGAAAATGGCACTTTCGAGTTCTCCATCCTACAAGATCTAGATAATTCTTGTCATAATATGGGCAAATGGTCTGAGGTGCTTGATGTCCAGGCATTCTTTTACACACTGGTCCCTCCCTAGTCTCTGTTCCCAATGCAACTCATCCCAAATCTTCCTTCTTCCCCCCCCCCCCCCCGCCTGTCCCCTCAGTCCCAACCGCAAGTGTTGCTGCGTCTTTCCAATCGTTCTTCTTTACAGACCCATCTGACATCTCCCCTCCTCCCCAGGCTGCTCCTCGCCAGGCCAAGCCAGGTCCCAATTCTTCCTCAGCCTCTGCTCCCCCACCCTATAATCCTTTCATCACCTCCCTTCTTCACACCTGGTCCGGCTTACAGTTTCATTCCACGACTAGCCCTTCCCCACCTGCCCAACAATTTCGTCTTAAAGAGGTAGCTGGAGCTAAAGGCATAGTCAAGGTTAACGCTCCTTTTTCTTTATCCGACCTCTCCCAAATCAGTTAGCGTTTAGGCTCTTTTTCCTCAAATATAAAAACCCAGCCCAGTTCATGGCTTGTCTGGCAGCAACCCTGAGACACTTTACAGCCCTAGATCCTAAAAGGTCAAAAAGCTGTCTTATTCTCAATATACATTTTATTACCTAATCTGCTCCCAACATTAAATAAAACTCCAAAAATTAAACTCCAGCCCTCAAACCCCACAACAGGACTTAATTAACCCCACCTTCAAGATGTACAGTAATAGACTAGAGGCAGCCAAGTAGCAACATATTTCTGAGTTGCAATTCCTTGCCTCCACTGTGAGAGAAACCCCAGGCACATCTCCAGCACACAAGAACTCCAAACACCTGAACCACAGTGGCCAGGCGTTCCTTCAGGACTGCCTGCCCCAGGAGCTTGCTTCAAGTGCTGGAAATCTGGCCACTAGGCCAAGGAATGCCTGCAGCCTGGGATTCCTCCTAAGCCATGTCCCATCTGTGTGGGACCCCACTGGAAATCGGACTGTCCAACCCGGCAGCCACTCTCAGAGCCCCTGGAACTCTGGCCCAAGGCTCTCTGACGGACTCCTTCCCAGATCTTCTCGGCTTAGTGGCTGAAGACTGATGCAGCCTGATCACCTTGGAAGCCCCCTGGACGCCGAGCTTCTGGTGACTCTCACAGTGGAGGGTAAGTCCGTCCCCTTCTTAATCAATACAGAGGCTACCCCCTCCACATTACCTTCTTTTCAAGGGCCTGTTTCCTTTGCCTCCATAACTGTTGTGGGTATTGACAGCCAGGATTCTAGACCCCTTAAATCTCCCCCACTCTGGTGCCAACTTGGACAATACTCTTTTATGCACTTCTTTTTAGTTATCCCCACCTGCCTAGTTCCCTTATTAGGTCTAGGCATTTTAACTAAATCATCTGCTTCCCTGACTATTCCTAGGCTACAGCCACACCTCATTGCTGCCCTTTTCCCCAGTTCAAAGCCTCCTTCACATCTTCCCCTTGTATCTCCGCACCTTAATCCACAAGTATAGGACACCTCTACTGCCTCCTTGGTGACTGATCATGCACCCCTTACCATCCCATTAAAACCTAATCACCCTTACCCCACTCAATGCCAATATCCCATCCCACAGCATGCTTTGAAAGGATTAAACCTGTTATCACTCACCTGCTACAGCATAGCCTTTTAAAGCTTATAAACTCTCCTTACAATTCCCCCATTTTACCTGTCCAAAAACTGGAAAAGCCTTACAGGTTAGTTCAGGATCTGCACCTTATTAACCAAATTGTCTTGCCTATCCACCCCATGGTGCCAAAGCCATATACTCTTCTATTCTCAATACCTCCCTCCCCAACCCCTCCATAACCCATTATTCTGTTCCGGATCTCAAACACGCTTTCTTTACTATTCCTTTGCACACTTCATCCCAGCCTCTCTTTGCTTTCACTTGGACTGACCCTGACAACCATCAGCCTCAGCAAATTACCTGGGCTGTACTACTGCAAGCCTTCACAGACAGCCCCCATTACTTCAGTCAAGCCCAAATTTCATCCTCATCTGTAACCTATCTCAGCATAATTCTCATAAAAACACACATGCTCTCCCTGCTGATCATGTCTGGCTAATCTCCCAAACCCCAATCCCTTCTACAAAACAACAACTCCTTTCCTTCCTAGGCATGGTTAGGTACTTCCGCCTTTGGATACCTAGTTTTGCCATCCTCACAAAAGCAAACCTAGCTGACCCCACAGATCCTAACACCTCTCAGCAAGCCAGACTCATTGCCTTAACTCAGGCCCTCACTCTTGCAAAGAGACTTTGCATCAGTATTTATACTGACTGTCAATATGCCTTCCATATCCTGCACCACCATGCTCCTGCTGCAGTTAACTAGCCCAACCTATTCCTTTAATTCAGCCCATCCCTTTGTTTCCCATAAAGGATACTTTTAGTTAATTTAATATCTATAGAAACAATGCTAATGACTCATTTGCTGTTAATCAATACGTGGGTAAATCTCTGTTTGGGGCTCTCAGCTCTGAAGGCTGTGAGACCCCTGATTTCCCACGTCACACCTCTGTATTTCTGTGCGTGTGTCTTTAACTCCTCTAGCACCACTGGGTTAGGGTCTCCCCGACTGAGCTGGTCTCGGCATTGTTCCTAGAGTGTCTTTGCTGGTTTTGGTCCTCTGCATTCCCATATAAGTTTAGAAACAACTTTTTGATTTCAACTTGGAGAGAATTGAAGTTTTGATAGTATTGAGTATTCCTCTCCATAACGCTGGTACATGGTGCCATTTATTTTGGTCTTCCCTATTTTCTCTCTATAACTTTTTACATATATATTTCTATGGTGCTCTTATACATGTAGTAATTGATTTATTCCAAGGCATCTTTTATTTTTAATGCCATTGTAAATGTTACATTCTTTAAAGTGTAAGTTTATAAATGTTTGTGCTGCCATATAGAAGGTTTTAATTATTTTATATTGTTTTGTATTTAACATTCAAAAACTCTTTAGTCTCTGTAGATTCTCTAAGACTATTTATATAAATATATCTAATGCATATTTGTTTCTTCCTCTTCAATCTTCATATATTTTACTGGTCTTGCTTTATTGCATTTGTAGAATCTCTAGCACAATGTTGGATAGCAATGGTGAAGGAAGGCATTTTTATTCTAAACTCAAGAGGAACTTTTTTTGTTTTTGCTCTTGATAGCATTGTGTTTTATATAAATTTTTAAATTTCACATAATTTTAGGCTTATAAGAAAGCTGTGCAACATTTTATAAGTATTTCTGGATACCCTTCATCCAGATTCAAAAGGATAGCTTTTGATATTTCACCATTAAATAGAAAGTTTAATATAAGATTTTTTTGTTAGATGCTCTTTATTAGATTAAAGATATATTATTCTAGGCCAGGCATGGTGACTCACGCCTGTAATCCCAGCACTTGGGGAGGCCAAGGCGGGCGGATCACGAGGTCAGGAGATCGAGACCATCCTGGCTAACACGGTGAAACCCCGTCTCTACTAAAAATACAAAAAATTAGCCGGGCATGGTGGCAGGTGCCTGAAGTCCCAGCTACTCGGGAGGCTGAGGCAGGAGAATGGTGTGAACTCAAGAGGTGGAGCTTGCAGTGAGCCGAGATTGCGCCACTGCTCTCCAGCCTGGGTGACAGAGCAAGACTGAGTCTCAAAAAAAAAAAAAAAAGAAAAAAAGATATATTATTCTATTTCTATTTTTAAGAGAATTAAATTTTTTTTTTTTTTTTTTTTTTGAGACAGGGTCTGGCTTTGTCACCTGGGCTGGAGTGCAGTGGTGCAGTCTTGGCTCACTGCAGCCTCAACCTCCAGCACTTAAGTGATCCTCCCACCTTAGCCTCCTGAGTAGCCGGGACTACAGGTGGGCACCACCACACCTAGCTAATTTTAGTAATTTTTGTAGAGGCAGGGTTTCTCCATGTTGCCCAATGTAGTCTCAAACTTCTGGCTCAAGCTATCTGCCCACCCAGCCTCCCAAAGTGCTGGGACTGTAGGTGTGAGCCACTGACCCCTGTGTAAAATAATTTTTTAAATCCAGAAAAGATGAATTTTATAACACATCTCACTTGCATTTAGTGAAATGTCCATGCAATTTTTTTCCCTTAGTTCTGTGAATGTGTTAAATTACATCAAATAATTTTGTAATTTGAAACCTACCTTGCGTTTCTGGTGTAAATTCTCCTTAATCAGCTTATAGTATTCTTTATATGTAATTTCATTCACTTTGCCAATATCTTGCATGGAACATTTTGTCTGTGTCTTCGAGTGGTTGGATTTTGGTGTCAGGATACTAGCTCATTATGAATTGGGGGATGTAGAGGTGATTTCTATTTATTCCAACAGAGCTAGTCTTCTTCTTTTCATAGCCTGCTTTGTACCCTACGACCTGGCATTTTCTGGATGACATCATTGGGCTATGTTGACCTTTGGTTTTCTGTGGGTTGACACATTGGAGATAGGGCAGGACATGGGAGGGAAGACAAGAGTGAGATGGGGGGATTCACTCCCAGCTGCCCTTCTTTGGGGCTACAAGTTGGCCATGGCTGTGTTCCTCTCCTGTGGCCAAAGGTCCTGTGAGCTCACCCTCCCACAAGTACAAGTCTCACTGGATCATAGCAACAGCTCCTTTCCTTGCCTCCCATTAGATATTTCGCTCTTGCTTGCCTTGGGCATTTTGTTATTGGTTTCCCTTAACTTTCCTCACAGCAGAGCCATAAGCCTGTGAACCCAAAAGTATCTGAGACAGGTCTCAATCAATTTAGAAAGTTTATTTTGCCAAGGCTAGGGATGTGTCTATGACACAGCTTCAGGAGGTCCTGAGGACACGTGCACAAGGTGGTCAGAGTACAGCTTGCTTTTATACATTTTAGGGAGATATAATACATCAATCAATGCATGTAAGATTTACATTGCTTTGATCTGGAAGAGCAGAATGACTTGAAGTGGGGTTGGGGGGGCTTCCAGTTCTTAGGTGGGTTTAAAATTTTTCTGATTGGCAGTGGGTTCAAAGAGTGATTGTCAATAGAAAAGAATGTCTGGGTTGTGATAAGGGATGGTGGAGACCAAGGTTTTATCATGCAGATGAAGTGTCCAGGTAGCAGGCTTCAGAAATAATAGATTGTAAATGTTTCTTATCAGACTTAAGGTCTGTGTTGATGTTAAATCCTGGTTGGTTTTTCCTGAATTCCAAAAGGGAGATGGGTATAATGAGGCAGGTTTGACCCCTCCTTCCATTATGACCTGAACTAGTTTTTTAGGTTAGCTTTGGAATGCCCTTGGCCAAGAGGAGGGGTCCGTTCAGATGGTTAGGGGCCTTAGAATTTTATTTTTTGTTTATAGCCATTCATTAAACTCTTGTCACGTATCCTGTGTGAGTGTGCCGTTTCCTTCCTGCAGGGACACTGACTGATATAGGGAATGCACCCTGATAGTTTATGCTTTGGAAGAATTTGTATAAGATTGGAGTGGTGTAAGTGCCTGACAGGTTCTTCCTGCCTGCTGCACAAGCAAATCAATTCATGGAGACCATGGCATTGCAGTGAAGAAAGAGTTTAATTGATGCGAGGCTGGTCAAACCACACCAGTGACAGAGTTATCATCAAGGCAATCTCATCGAAGGCTCAGAGGCCAGGTGTTTTTCAAATATGCTTGGTGGGCAGGGAGCTCGGGTATGAGGAGTGCTGAGTGGTTGGGTTGGAGATGAAATCATAGGAAGTGAAGCTGTCTTTTTGCATGGAGTTACTTCTGGAGGCCACAGGAACAACTGGTGGGTCCAGGAGAAGCCATTGGTGTTAGACATTAAAAAAAAAAAACACCTAAAAAGGCATCTCAAAAGGCCAATCACAGGTTCTACCATAGTGATGGTATCTGCAGGAGTAATTGGGGAAGTTGCATATCTGTGAATTCCAGAATAATTGCTGGCAATTATTTAATATATTACATTTAATTTTTTTATTTTAACAGCTTTGTTAAAGTATAATTGACATATAACAAGTATGTATATCTAAAGTATATAATTTGTAACTTTTGTTTATGTCTGTATCTTGGCCAAATTAAGGCTCCTCTATCCTCCTAGCCTGATGGTCTCTCATTAGCTTTACAAAGACAGTTGAGTTTTGGGGAAGGGCTATTATGATTTAAAGTATGAACTAAATGTTTCTTTTCAATGTTCCTCTTTTCACTAATCTATTAAGTCAATTCTAATTATATTTTAAAATCTTGTATATGTTCATTAAATTAAATTTTTTTGTCATAATACTTTCATTGAATTATAAGTGACATATAACAAGCGTGTATATCTAAAGTATATAATTTGTAACTTTTGACAGTGGTAAAAACCAGAACAACCACCATAATGATCAAAATAATGAACACATCCCTCACCTCCAAATGTTTTGTTGTGCCTGTGTGTAACACCCTCTCTTGTATCTCCTTAACCCCTTCCTCCTCTCTCTTTCTCCTTTTTTTTTTTTTTTTTTTTTTTTTGGAGACAGAGTCTTGCTCTGTCACCTAGGCTGGAGTGCCATAGCACAGTCTTGGCTCACTGCAACTTCTGCCTCCCGGGTTATGAAATTCTCCTGCCTCAGCCTCCCGAGTAGCTGGGATTATAGGCGTGTGCCACCATGCGAGACTAATTTTTGTATTTTTAGTAGAGATGGGGTTTCACCATGTTGGCCAGGCCGGTCTCAAACTCCTGACCACAGATGATCCACCTGCCTTGGCCTCCCAAAGTGCTGGGATTACAGGCATGAGCCACCGTGCCCAGCCAACCCCTTCCTCCTCTCTAGGCAACTGCTGATCAGGTTTATGTCAGTATAGATTAGTTTGCTTTATGTAAATTCAATCATACAGTATGAAATGTTATTGTTTCCTCAAAGAGAAGTCTTTTAGGTTAATCTGTGTCATGTGTATGAATACTTTATATCTTTTTTGAGTGTTAAATTTTAAAAAATTACATATGGCAAAACTCAGTATTTATGATGTACATTTCCATGAGTTTTGACAGCTATGTCTTATGTACGTTTTGTATTGGTGTCTAGAATCTCAAACACTACCATCACAATAGAGATGCTATTTTCTTACTTTCAAACATTTCTTGTGTTGTGCTTTTGTAGTGAAATATTCTCTTCGCCCTTAATCTAATTCTGAGTGGCCACTGGTTTGTTCTTTATTCCAATAACTTTGCCTTTTCTAGAACTGCTTATCAATGCAATAATACAATAAGTAGCTTTTTGTGTCTGGCTTCTTTCAATAATTTTATCATTTACACATTCTAACTAGGATCTTACATTTTTAAAGGTATCATGTATCCTTATGAATATTCATTTTTTCAGATGTTTTAATTACTGGAAATAAGATTACTCATCTTATTTCTTAAAAATCTGGATCTTATGCGCCAATATATTTAATATACATTTTTGTTTAGTTACTAGATGAGATTTGTTTTTCCCCTCCAGCTTTATTGGTATAATTGACAAATAGGAATTGTGTATATATAAAATGCACAAGTAGATACTTTGATATACATTCACATTGTGAAATAATCATCATACTCAAGCTAATGAACATATGCATCATAGATTTAATATCATATTTAGTATCTTAAAATTAAAGAAGTATTGAAGGAAGCCAGACTCGGAAGGCTACATATTGCATGATTTCATTTATAGGCAGTTCCAGAAAAGGCAAAGCTTTTAAAAGATTTTTGAAGTTTCATTTACTCATGGTCAACTGGGGTCTGAAAACAGATGAGGCAGTACAACAAGATATATAAGATATATGAGAGAGAGAGAGAGAAAGAAAGAGAGATAAACCACATTCACACAACTTTTATTACAGCATATTGGTATAAATTTTTATTTTATTATTAGCCTTTGTTGCTAATCTCTTCTTGTGTTTAATTTAGAAATTAAACTTTATCATATGTATGGATGTATCAAAAAAACAGCACGTTGTGTATAAGGTTTGGTACTATGAATGGTTTAAGGTACTCATTGGGGGTCTTGGAATGTATCCCTTGCAGATAATGGGGGGCTACTCTACACTATAGAGTATTATGAATCATGGTCATCATACTGTCCATTAAATCTCCAGAGTTCATTCATCTTGCATAGCTGAAACTTTGTACCCTTGACCAGTAACTTCTCAATCCTCTCTCCTGCTTCTTCTGGGCTCCCTGGAAACCACCATTCTGCTCTCTGATTCTACGAGTTTGAGTATTTTACATACCACATAGAAGTCAGATCATATAGGATTTTTGTCATGAGTCATGAGTATGTGGGTCTGGTGCACAGGTGGTAAAAAGAATTTACTAAGACAGTTGTAGGTAAAGAAAGGCAGATTTATTAGAAAATGTATAAAACTATGTTGCAAGAAAGCAATGGGCAAGTCAGCAAGAGAGGTGCTGACTGCCAGGAGATAAAGGCTTGCTGGGGATTTTATAGGATGGTGCTTGTACTGTGTGCTGGAGAGGGCTATGTGCAGTACTCTATTGCCAAGGTTGCAGTGATCTAACGTGCATTTTCCTATCAATCAGCCGAGGGTCTCATGATAATTCAGGTGCAGGAGGATTTTGAATTATTTGTGCAGGAGGGCTATATGTTCCGGACCGTAAGGAAGGGCAGACTGATAATTTATCTGCTTTCTCTTTTTGCTTTCCCCTGCTCCCACCAGCCTCACTCATTTTCTCTAATTAGTGCCCCATTGATTTGTCTTTCCGTGTCTCCCTTATTTTTCTTAGCATAGTGTCCTCCAGATTCATCCATTTTATTGTAAATGGTAGGGTTTCCTTCTTTTTTTAAAAACTGAACAGTAGTCCATTATATCTTTTGTAGAACGGAAAAATGTATATATCACATTTTCTTCATCCATTCATCCATTAACAGAAAGTTTGATTGTTTCCATATCTTGGTGATTGTGAATAATGCTACAATGAACAGGGGAGTGCAGATGCCTGTTTGAGATACTGATTTTATTTCCATTGATTGTATATTCAAATGTGGGATTGCTGGGTCATATGGTAATTCCAACTCTATGCTGCTTTTCATAGAGGCTGCACAATTTTACGTTTCCAACAACAGTGCACAAGGTTCTCAATTTCTTCACATCATCATGAACGCTTGTTATTTTTTGTCTTTTTGATAGTAGCTATGATAATGGGTGTGAGATGATAGATAGCTCATGGTTTTGGTTTGCATTTTTTCTGATGATCAGTGATGTTGAACACCTTTTCAAGCATCTATTGGCCATTCGTATGTCCTTTTAGGAAAAATATCTATGCATGTCCTTTGTCCATTTTCAATTGGATTGTTTATTTATTTTTTTGCTATTGAGTGTATGAATTAATTACATATTTTGGATATTAACTTCTTATTAAATACATGGTTCTCAAATACTTTCTCTGGTCTGTAGGTTGATGTCTCCAGCTTTGTCTTCTTGGTCAGGATTGGTTTGTCTATTTTGGCTTTTTTTGTGATTCCATAAACACTTTAGAATTGTTTTTTCCTATTTCTGTAGAAAATGCCATTGGGATTTTCCTAGGGATTGGCTTGAATCTGTAGATTCTTTGGTAGTGTGGATACTTTAACATTATTAATTATTCAAATCTGTGAACATAAGAGTTCTTTCCATTTCTCTGTGTCTTCTTTAATTTTCTTCATCAATGTTTTATGGTTTTCAGTGTACAAGTCTTTTACTTCTTTGGCTTAGTTTATCCTAATAATTTTATTCTTTTTGTTGTTATTGCAAATGTAATTGTTGCCATATTTTCCTTATTGGATAGTTCTTTGTTAGTATACAGACATACCTCCGATTTTTGTAGGTTTATTTTGTATTTTGCAACATTACTGAATTTATTAGTTTATAATTATTATTTATTAGTTTATTATTTTAGTTATTATTTATTAGTTTATTTTAGTTATTTATTATTAGTTATTATTTATTAGTTATTATTTGTTAGTTTATTATTAGTAATTATTACTAATAATATATAACTATTATATAATATATAATATAACTATTATAATATTATAACTATATATAATATATAGCTATTATATATATAACTATAATATATAACTATTATAAATAAATAATAACGAATAGTAATTAGTTATTATTAGTTTATTATTAGCAATTATAATTATTAGTTTATTAGTTTATAATTTTATGTGTGCATATTAAGTCTTTAGGGTTTTCTACGTATAACATCATGTAATCGTCTTTTTTTTTTTTTTTTTTTTTGAGACAGGATCTTGCTCTGTCGCTCAGGGTAGAGTGCAGTGGCGTGATCTTGGTCAGCTTCCCAAGTAGCTGGAATTACAGGTGTGCACAATCTCACCTGGATAATTTTTGTATTTTTAGTGGAGACAGGTCTAACCATGTTGGCCAGGCTGGTCTCAAACTCCTGACCTCCAGTGATTCACCTGCCTTGGCCTCCAAAGTGCTGGCATTACAGGCTTGAGCCACCACGCCTGGTCAACATCATGTGATCTTGTAAGAGATACTGTTTTACTTCACTTTTTTCTGATTTAGATGCCTTTTCTTTTCTTGCCGCATTACTCTTGGTAGGACTTACAGTTCCATGTTAAATACAAGTGGTAAGAGTGGGCATTCTTATCTTGTTCCTGATCTTAGAAGAAAGAATTTTAGTTTCTCTTGATTGATTATGATGGTAGCAGTGGGCTTTTTATATATGACCATATTTGTGTTGAGGTAAGTTCCTTCAATACCTATTTTGGTGGTGGTTTTAATATGAATGGACGTTGGGTAATGTCAGGTATTTTTCTGCATCTTTTAAAATGATCCTGTGGTTTTTATTCTTCATTCTGTTAATATGGTGTGCCATGTTGATGGATTTGCATATTTTGAAACATCTTTCATTTCAGGGATAAATTCTACTTGGTCATATTGTGTAATTCTGTTCATGTGTTTGAACTTGGTTTTCTACTATGTTATTGAAGATTTAAAAAATCTATGTTCATTGTGAATATTAGATTGTAGCTTTTTTTCTTTTCTTCTTTTGCTTTTATCATTTTAGATGGACACAATAATAATTGTATATATTTATGGGGTACAGTATGATATTTCAATACATGTATACAATGTGTAATGATCAAAGCAGCCTGATTAGCATATACACCTCAAACATTGATCATTACTTTGCATTGGGAACATGCAGTATCTGCTCTTCTAGGTATTTGAAAATATACAGTAAGCCAGGTGCAGTGGCTCATGCCTGTAATCCCAGCACTTTGGGAGGCTGAGGTGGGAGGATCACGAGGTCAGGAGATCGAGACCATCCTGGCTAACACGGTGAAACCCTGTCTCTACTAAAAATACAAAAAATTAGCAGGGTGTGGTGGCGGGCAACTGTAATCCCAGCTACTCAGGAAGCTGAGGCAGGAGAATGGCATGAACCTGGGAGGCAGAGCTTGCAGTGAGCTGAGATTGTGCCACTGCACTCCAGCCTGGGCGACAGAGCGAGACTTCATCTCAAAAAAAATATATATATATATACAGTAAATTGTGTAATACAGTCACCCTACAATCCTATAGAACACTAGAACTTATTCCTCCTATCTAGCTGCACTTTTGTATCCATCCATCAATCTTTGGCTATATTCCCACCTCCCCCAACTCTTTCTTGCCTCAAGTAACCCTTAGTCTACACTCTCCTTCTATGAGAGCAACTTTTTAACCTTCCACATGTGAGTGAGAACATACAGTATTTATCTTTCTGTGTCTTGGCTTCTTTTGCTTAACACAATGACTCCAAGCTCATTTATGTTGCTGCAAATGACAGCATTTTATTCTTTTTCATAGCTAGATCATATTCCATTGTGTATTTATACCATATGTTCTTCATTTGTTCACATGTTCATGGACACTTAGGTTGATTCCATGTTTTGTCCATTGTGAACAGTGTTGCAATAAACATGAGAGTGCAGATACCTCTTTGATATACTGACTTCCTTTTGTCTGGATGTGTACCCAGTAATGGGATTGCTTGACCATATATGGTAAATCTATTTTTAGTTTTTTGAGGAACCCCCCATAGTGTTTTTCCTCATGGCTGTAATAATTTACGTTCCCACAAACAGCATACAAGAGTTCTCTTTTCTTTGCTTTCTCACTAGCATTTGGTATCTTTTGTCTTTGTCATAGTAGCCATTTTAACTGGGATGAGATGATATCTGAATGTGATTTTGATGTGCATATCCTGTATGATAAGTGATGTTGAGCATTTTAAAAATATTAGTTGGCCATATGTATGTCATCTTTTGAGAGATGTTTATTCAGCTAATTTGTCCATTTCTTTTTCTTTTTTTTTTTTGAGATAGAGTTTCACTCTTGTTGCCCAGGCTGGAGTGCAATGGTGCAATCTTGGCTCACTGCAACCTCTGCCTCCCAGGTTCAAGTGATTCTCCTGCCTCAGCCTCCCGAGTAGCTGGGATTACAGGCACGGGCCACCACGCCCAGCTAATTTTATATTTTTAGTAGAGGCATGGTTTCACCATGTTGGCCAGGCTGGTCTTGAACTCCTGACCTCAGGTGATCCATCCACCTGAGCCTCCCAAAGTGCTGGGATTACAGGCATGAGCCACTGCACCTGGCCAAGTTGTCCATTTTTACATCAGATTATTTGTATTTTTTTTGACATTGAATTGTTCAAGTTTCTCATATATTGTGGATATTAATCCCTTGTTGAATGAATAGTTTGCAGTTTTCTTCCCATTCTGCAAGTTGTCTCTTGTCTCTGTTGATTGTTTTCTTTGCTGTGCAGGAGCTTTTTAGTTTAATGTAATCCAATTAGCCTATTTTTGCTTTTGTTTCCTGTGCTTTCAAGTTCTTCACCACAAAATCTTTGCCCAGATCAATGTCTTGAAGCATTTCCCCTGCTTTCTTCGAGTAGTTCCATAGTTTCAGCTCTTAATTTAAGTCTGTAAGCTATTTTGAGTTGATTTTATTAATATGGTGAGATATAGGGGTCTAGTTTCATTTTTCGGCATACAGATATTTAATGTTCCAGGCATCATTCATTCAAGTTTTTTTTTCTCTTGCCTAATTGCTCTAGCTAGGACTTCCAGTACTATGTCAAATAAAAGTGGTGACAGGCCAGGCACGGTGGCTCATGCCTGTAATCCCAGCACTTTGGGAGGCCAAGGCAGGCAGATCACGATGTTAGGTGATTGAGATCATCCTGGCTAACATGGTGAAACCCCGTCTCTACTAAAAATACAAAAAATTAGCTGGGTGTGGTGGCACATGCCTGTAATCCCAGCTACTCTGGAGGCTGAGGCAGGAGAATCGCTTGAACCCGGGAGGCGGAGGTTGCAGTGCGCCGAGATCGTGCCACTGCACTCCAGCCTGGGTGACAGAGCGAGACTCCATCTCAAAAATAAATAAATAAATAAATAAAAGTGGTGATAATGGACGTTCTTGCCTTGTTTCAAATCAATACATGTAACACATCACATCAACAGAATGAGTACAAGAACCATATGATTATCTCAGTAGGTGCAGAAAAAGCGTGATAAAATTCAACAGCCCTTTATAGTAAAAACTCTTAAGAAGCTGGGTATAGAAGGAATGTAGCCCAGTACAATAAATCAGTGTATGGCAAACCCACAGCCAACATCATAGTGAATAGGGAAAAGTACAAAGCTCTTCCAGGAAATGTAAAGAACCAATAAATGTTCTTGCTGCCTTTGTTGAAAATCAGTTGGTTGTAAATGCTTGGACGTACTTCTGAGTTGTCTATTTAGTTTCACTGGTCTGTGTGTCTGTTTTTATGCCAGTACTATGCTGTTTTGTTTACTCTAACTTTGTAGCCTATTTTTAAGTCAAGTCATGCTATGCCTCCAGCTTTGTTCTTTTTGCTCAGGATTGCTTTGGATGCTCAGAGTCGTTTGTGGTTTCATATAAATTTCAGGATTATTTTTTATATTTCTGTGACAATATCATTGATATTTTGATAGGGATTGCATTGAATCTGCAGATCATTTTTGGCAACATGGTCATTTTCACAATAGTGATCCTTCCAATTATGAGCATGGAATATCTTTTCATGTTTTAGTGTCCTCTTCAATTGGTTTCCTCAGTATTTTATAGTTTTTTTGGTGGAGGTCTTCCACCTCCTTTGTTATAGTTATTCTGAAGCTTTTTTTTTGGTAGCTGTTTTATACGAGATTGCTCTTTAATTTCTTTCTTTTCTAATTTGTTGTTGATGTTCAGGAATGGTACTGGTTTTAGTATGATGATTTTGTATCCTGCACCTTTAATAAATTCATCGGTCAGTTTAAGAGTAGTTTGGTGGTGCTTTTGGGGTTTTCTGTACATAAGATGATGTCCTCTGCAAGCAGAGACAATTTGACATCTTACTTTCCAGTCTGGATGCCCGTTATTTCTTTCTCTTGCCTAATTGCTCTGGCTAGGACTTCCAGCACTACATTGAATAAAAGTGGTAGAAATGGACATTCTTGGCTTGTTCCAGATCTTGGAGGAAGAGCTTTGTACTTTTCGTTATTCACTATGATGTTAGCTGTGTGTTTGCCATACATTGATTTCTTGTGTTGGGCTGCATTCCTTCTATACCCAGTTTGTTAAGAGCTTTTACTATGAAGGGCTGCTGAATTTTATCATGCTTTTTCTGCACCAATCAAGATGATCATATGGTTCTTGTACTCACTCTGTTGATGTGGTGCGTCCCACTTATTGATTTGTGTATCTGGAACCATCCTTGCATCCTGGGTTAAATCCCACTTGGTCATGGGAATGATCACTTTCATGTGCTGCTGAATTTGGTTGGCTAGTATTTTGTGGAGGATGTTGACATCTACATGTATCAGGGATATCGGCCTATAGTTTTCTCTCTCTCTCTCTCTCTTTTTTTTTTGCTGTGTGCTCCTCTGGTTTTGGTATCAGGATAATGCTGGTCTTGCAAAATGAATTTGGAAGTATTCCCTACTCTTCAATTTTCTGGAAGAGTTTGAGAAGAATTACTATTATTTTCTCCTAAATGTTAGGTGGAATTCTGCAGTAAAGCCATTGGCATCTAGGCTTTTCTTTGATAGGACACATTTTATTACAGATTCAATTTGTTTGAGATAGGAGGGCTAGATGGGACTGACTGACTAGTTCTCCTCACAGATCACACATGATTTGGTAAAGTAGTTTCCCTTGAGGGCAGGCTTTTGTTATATAGCACAGGATACTTTGGGCTTACTTCAAAATGCTTGTTTCCTTGGGTGTGTTTCAGAATGATTATTTTCACCCCTCCTCCTGTCTGAAGCATGAGATAATTTTTCTCCAGTCTTCATCATGAGAATCTTGTGTGTCTCCTGGAGGAAAAATCTCATGAAAGTATGGGTGCTGACCCCATTATGAGACTGGGTTCCCAGGTTTTAAGTCTCAAGCTTGTCCACCCTTAGCCTCCGGCAATTTAATTACTGTTCACCTGTCCCTATCAGTTGCTGGTTCCCAAGGCTTCCACTCCTCAAAATCTGATCCTCTATATTTGCTGTCTCTCCAGTTTGGGGGGCATTGCTTTGCCCTATGAACTCAATTCTCTGAAGAATTTAAGAAGGGCTATTGATTTTCAGTTTGTTCAACCTTTTGTTGTTGTGAGGATGGGAGTAACAAGCTCTTTACATGCTGGAATGGAAACCAGAAGTCTAGATCTATATTTTCTATTTCTCGTTATCAAGTTCTCTTTCCCCTATACTTTTGTCAATATCTCCTTTTCATGTGGAAATTTTCAGAAGCTTTCACAAGCCAAGCTGGAGCTTCTATCCCAGGGCTACATAATAGAGTTCAGTTTGTTTATTTATTTATTTTTTTTGTAGAGACAGGATCTCCCTTTTTTGCCCAGGCTGGTCTTGAACTCCAGTCCTAAGGTAATCTGCCCTGGCCTCCCAAAGTGCTGAGATTATAGGCATGAGCCACCATATGTGACCTTTTTTTTGTTTTTAATGCTATCTTGATCTAGTTTTGAAGCCCTGGCAAGAGGCTGGTGAGTTCCCTTTAATGGGCTCTCACATTCTGGGTCACTATGCACAAGCTCTAATCACCCCAGGGCCAGGTACCAGACAGCTAGGGATGACCCCTATTCCCTGAAACCTGTGAAATTGTTCAAACTCATCAATCCACAGGGAGCCTGAAACCTAACTAGCTCCACTAACCCTGCTTGCCATACATAAGCAGCCCTCTACAGTTATTCCTTACTGTTACCCTGTCCCTGGGTGCAACCCCCTGCATACCCTTGCCTGACAGCCTTCTCCCCTTTGGAGCTGTAAGTAACCAAGCGTTCTGCTTTTCATGTGTCTGAGTGTCAGCATGTTATATCCCACCATAAAAAGAACCTTTACATCTTGTAAAACAGGCTGTCCTTTGACTTCAGGATTTTACCCTTCCAAGCCCCTCGAGTTCTGTTTCTAACCAGGTACTTCCTGGGCATCTACCTCCAGCTTAGAGGTGTGGGTTAAGGCTCCCCTAAGGGTTTGTACCTAAAAGTATGAATCAGTTTCCACCATGGTGAATCTGGGCAATTTTATAATAGCTCCAGGCATGGTTCCTACAGAGACTGGAAGACTATACAGTAGTGGCTGGATGCCTGCAACAGTGTACCCTGTAGGGGAGACCCACCCTTCAGTATGCCATAGCTATGACCAATACTGGTTTCCTTATTTATGACCCAACCTGTCCCTAGGGCATGAAGAGGATGCCCCTTTGTTTCCAAGTTGCCTTTTACTCTTGGTATGAAATCCAAACTCCTAGTGTGTCTGGAACGATTCCTTAGGTTCCAACCCTTCCCCTGCCATGATGAATGCTTCTCCAACTATACCCCAAACTACCTCCACCCAACAGATCTCCCTAAAGCCTAGTCCATTGAGCTGCCAGGCCTTTGTTCAGATATCTTCTCTGCCAGGAGCAACCTCCAAGGAATTTGCATTTCTTCCAGGTTTCCAGGTACTGCTGATGTTGCTGGTATGGAGACCACACATTTTAATGTAATAAGTGATTTATTCACTTACTATAAAAATTTACATATTCTCTGAACATTTCCTGTGTTTATGTCTTGGACTTTATTTCATTGCTTCAATTCTCCCAAGCTTTACAACCAGGAAATGGGTTGGTATATTTCATATTAAACTGATTTAAATAACTACAAAATTAGCAAACCAAGGTCAGTGACAGATAATTGCAGATTTTCAGTCACATAAATAATGACTAATTGTCAATGAGTAATTTTGTATAGTACTATTATTTTTACTAAAATAAATTTTTAAGGGAGAAGTAAAGCTGCAAATAATTAAGCAATTTGTTTATACATTGGGATCCACCACCTTCCAGAAAGTCACATTCTTCTCAGTGTAAGTGGTGAGCACTTACACACTTTGTCCTGTCTACCTTTTTCTTGACATGTTCCAATCTTGCCATGTAATTTCCATTGACTTTCTATACTAGTGGGTTCTAATAGAAATAGGTTGTCTCAGCTTCGAGGGAGATTAAGCTTAGCAGGTATGGTTTGAGGCACTCTGAAAATTACCCTGAGAAATACATTAACTTACATGGTTGGGGCCCTCCCTCTTGCCAAACTGCTATTAGAATAAAAGATGAGGCATCTAATTTCCCAATAAAAAGAAAGGCAGTGTATAGGGTTTTTTCATTTCATTTTTTATTGTAATAAAATATGCATAACATAAATGTTACCACTTTATTTTCAAGTGTACAATTCAGGAGCATTACGTACGTTCACAAGCTTGTGGATCCACTAGCATTATCTATTTCCAGAACTTTTCATCATCCCCAACCAAACCTCTGTATCCAATAAACAAAAATTCTCCCTTCCTCTCTGCCTCTAGCCCCTGGTAACCTGTAATTTTTGTCTCTATGAATTTGCCTATTCTAGGATAGACCATATTAGGCCACAAAACAAGTCTTAATAATTTTATTTTTTAAGTACAATTTCCATTTTATTTTTCCCCAGAGAATAGTCTGTCTTCAGTCTTTAAGGACTAAGCTCCTTACATGGGCTTTGGTGGGGGTCATGGGGAAGCACCCGCAGGTCTAAATCGGGGAGGGGGTGTTGGGTCCTTGCGGGCTTCATGAGATCGATTCCTGACTACTTTGCTGTGAATTGCACAACTCACACAGTAATGTAGTTTCACATACAGCTTGGGAAGCACATAGGCATTGAAGGTGCTTGCTTCAGAAATGTCCCTGACTGCCGCGGCCTCCACTATGTTTCAAATGATGAGTTTTTTTCTTTTTTTTTTTGAGACGGAGTTTCGCTCTTGTCACCCAGGCTAGAGTGCAGTGGCACAATCTTGGTTCACTGCAACCTCCGTCTCCCGGGTTCAAGCGATTCTCCTGCCTCAGCCTCCCAAGTAACTGAGATTACAGACTCCTGCCACCACGCCAGGCGAATTTTTTGTATTTTTAGTAAAGATGGGGTTTTACCATGTTGGGCAGGCTGGTCTCGAACCCCTGACCTCGTGATCTGCCCACCTTGGCCTCCCAAAGTGCTGGGATTACAGGCATGAGCCACTGCACCTGGCCCCAGTGACGAGTTTCTTAACGGCTTTGTACTTGGGCATGCATCGGGCACAGTTCATGCAGCAAATAGGCTGCATGTGGCCGCGGCCCTTTTTGGCATGATTGTTGTTCTTTCTTTTCTTTGTCATCTTTGAGGCACAATGACCAGAGAGAGGTAGTCTTAATAACTTTAAAGATTGAAATCATACAGTGTATCTTCTGATCACAATGTAATGAAACACTAGAAACAAATAGCAGACAGAAAACAGTAAAATTCACAAATATATGGCAACTAAATGGCACACTCAAATCACAGATAGGTCAATGAAGAAATCACAAGGTAAATTAGGAAATATCTTGAGGGATATTACACTACCTCATATACTTATCCTTTTTTGTGGTAAGAACACTTAAAATTTACTCTCAGAAATGTTCAAGAATATAATGCATTAACTGTAGTCATCATGTTGTGCAATAGCTCTCTTTTATTTCTCCCATCTAACTGAGGTTGTGTATCCTTTGACCAACTTGGGACCCCTTAGTCCCTATTAACCATCATTTTACTCTCTACTTTCATGAGTTTGACTTTTTTAGATTCCACATATAAGTGAGATTATATGGTATTTGTCTTTCTGTGGTTTATAATTTTTTTATGCATTTGTCTTTTTAAGTTGTGTCAAAAATAAAAACGAGTTACAAAGCAAAATTAAATTATATATATTTACATACATATGTATATATATGTAAATATATAAATGAATATATATAAATATATTCATTTATATATTTATATATTTACATATATATATATATATATATATATATATATATATATATATATATGTATATATATTTACAGGCGTGAACCACTGCACCCGGCCAATAATATTGGTTTTTATATCTGTCCATATACTTACCAGAGAACTTTATTTCTTCACATAGGTTTGAATTACTGTCTAGTGTCTTTTCATTTCAATCTGAATGACCCTTAGTATTTCTCATAGGGTAAGTCTACTGGTAATGAACATTCATGGCTTTTGCTTATCTGATAATGTCTTCATTTTTCCCCACTTTTGCAGGACCATTGTGCTAGACATAGTATTTTTAATTAACAGGTTTTTCCTTATATCACTTTAAATATATCATACCATTTCCTTCTGGAGTGCAGGGTTTCTGCTGAGAAATGACTTGATGATCTTATTGAGGATCCTTTACAGGTGATGTGTTACTTTTCTTTTACTGCTTTCAAGATTCTGTCATTTGGCATTTCACTATTATGTATCTCAGTGGGTTTATCTTACTTGGAGTTCACTAACGTATCGAATCTACACATTCATGTGTTTCCTCAAATTTGAGAAGTTTTCAGTCAACATTTCTTAAAGTAATTCTACTACCTTCTCTCTCTATTTTCCTGGGAATCCCATAATACATATATTGGTCCAGTGATGGTTTCCCATAAGTTCCTTAGGTTTTATTCACTATTCTTCATTCTTTTTACTTTCTATTGCTGAGATCTGATCATTTAAAATGTCTTATCTTCAAGTTGGCTGCTGAAGTCTGCTGTTGAACTCCTAATTTTTTCATCTTGACTAATAGATTAATATATTTTTCAGCTTCACAATATCTGTTTGGTTCCTTTCTATAGTATCTATATCTTTTTGTTGATATTCTCATTTTGTTTTAAATCATTTCCCTGATATCATTTAGTTCTTTGTGTTTCCTTTATGTATCTGAGCCCATTTAATACCGTTAATACAGTTACTTTAATATCTGAGCATATTTAACACAGTTGTCTTTGTCCAGTAAACCCAATGCCTGTCTTCAGAGATGATTTGTGCCACTTTGTATTCATCTTTTGAATGGACAATGTTTTTTCTATTTCTTTGATTGCCTTGTGATTGTTTAAGTGAAAATTGGGCATTTGAAAACAACAGCCACATCTCTCAGTCTTTGTATACTGGGTCTGTTTCAGGAAAGTCCTTTAATAATTAGCTAGGAATGTTCTGTGCCTTGGGATCAGTATGAGGAAAAAGCTTAAGGTTCTTGGGTATTTTCTGAGCATATCTCTTGGTTGGGTCTGTGTGTGTTTTTTTCAATCCCTCTGTATACACAGCTGCTTTTAAATGTCTTATTTTTCCAAAGAGTCTCCCCCTGGGTTGTCTTGGAGACTTAGATGGTGTATACATATCTCCACCTGTATTCTTTTACTCTATGTGTCTACAGGTCTTAGTGTCCTTGCAGCTTTCCCAAGTAGTATTTGATGCTTCTTGCTGTCTGAGATCTGAATTAGGTGAGGTAGAGACCAGTCCTGACTCTGCAAGTCTACCCCCACCACTTCCCATTATTGATGCTACAGATTAGATCTTTATACATTGTGTTCCCAATAACAGGCTAACTATTTTTATGCATTTGTCTTTTCAATCCTGTAGAAGATAAAAAAAAAGTGGAGTTACAAACCAAAACTATAATAGTATTACATTTTATAATTCCTCATGTATTTACCTTTACTAGTGAACTTTACTTTTCCATATGGCTTTGAGTGACAGTCTGGCTTCTTTTAATTTCAACCTGATAGACTTCCTTCAGCATTTTTTTTTCAGGACATGTCTAGTGATAATCAACTGCCTCAGCTTTTGTTTATCTGGGAATATGTGAATTTCTCCCTAATTTTTCAAGAGCATTTTGCTGAATATAAACTCTCTATTGACAGCTTTTTTTCTTCAGCACTTTATGTTTATTGATCAGCTTCCTTCTGGCTTCTAGGGTTTCTGATGAGACCCTGGTTGATAGTCTTGAGGATCCCTTGTATGACAGGAGTTGCTTCTCTTTTGCTATTTTCAAGATTATCTGTCTTTGGCTTTTGACATTTGATTATGTGTCTCAGTATGGGTCTCTTTTCAATTCTCCTACCTAAGAGTTCATTCTGCTTGCTGGATTGCAAATTCATGTCTTTCATCAAATTTGGAGATTTTTCAGCCATTATGTCTTAAAATAGTTTCTCTGCCCCTTTCTCTCTTTTCCCCTTCAAGGATTCCCAAATTGATGTTGTGCTACAGTTCCACTAAGCTCTGTTCACTCTTCTTTTTCATGTTGATAATTTATATTTGTCCTATTTTTAAGTTTGCTGAATCTCTCCTCTAATTGCTTATCTTTTGAATCCCTCTATTGTATTCATATTTTTTGTTTCTGTTACTGTAATTTTTTATCCAGATTTTTTGATTCTTTTAAAAAATCATTTCATCTCATTATTTCTATCCTCAGTTTGCTCATACATCTTTTTCCTTTGTTCATATATTTCTTTAGCTTTTAAAGCATCTTTAAGACAGTTGTCTTTTTATAGTGAGTCTGACATCTGGGCTGCCTCAAGTATGTTTTCTGTCAATTCATTTTGTTCCTTTAATTGGGCCATACTTTTCTGTTTTTTGGCATGCCTTCAGGTTTTTGTTGTTGTTGAATACTGGACATTTGAATCTTACAATATGATATCTCTGGAAATCATATTTCCCCCCTTCCCCTGGATTTGCTGCACTTTTGCCTTTGTTTGTATTATTATGAGATAACTGTGCACCAGAGATCAGCCTAAAATAAAAGCTGAAGAAGGTTTTTTCAGTGCTTGTATCTTTCCATGAGCATGTGAGGCGGCTTTCTGAATTCTTCTGTATATGTAGTTGTTTTTGAATTAAAAAAAATAGGTGCAAGTCTTTAAAATCTCCTGAAAGTCACTTCATCCAGTGGGGGTTGAAACAATGATGACTAGCCTACAAGCCCACAAGCCCACAAGATCAGAAGCACCAATCCACAGTCAGAACACAGAACCATATGGCCTTGTCATTGTCTTGTATCTTGCATCAATTACTTCTGCATATACAGCTTTTTTCCTCTAACACAATTGCAATTTGTTTAAAGACTGACTCCCCCTCAACAGCAAAGAATTAAGCGTCCAGGAAGTGCTCAGTGATATGTGCCTTGATTCTTTCTAGATGTTTACCAACAACTGAGCTCTAATCACATTTGACTGGCCCAAGGCTAACAAGGAAACTTTGACTTTCCAGGCATCGGTGATCTTCAATGACAGGCTGTAACCTCTACTCAGGAAGAGTGAGGGCAGTGGCACCCAGTCCATGGGACTCTGTACTCAGAGATGATGCTGAAGACCTGTAGTCCTCTGGTCTCCATGGGTAAAGCCTCCCCTTTCCTCTATGTGAAGCCTGACAGCCTCCTTCAGTTGGCCTTTTTTCCAGCTCTGTAGGGCACCGTCCTTCCTTCTCACAGACCTGCTGAATTCTCATCTCATCTCCTATCTGGTCTCTTTGTTTCCCCTCAGGTTATTTTGGGCGAGAAACATTCCCTCAAAATGGCTCAGATACTAAAGGATTTGTTGTAAGGAAATGGGTGCATTTTGTAAGAGCTCCCTCAAAAATGTGAAACAGTAAATACATAAGAGCGACAAGTGATTAGATGTGACATCTGAGACCAGAATGATGAAGCAACCATGAGAAGACAATGATGATGAAATCAATAGCTAATACTTATTGAATGCTATTAAGAGGCCAGGCATTGTTGTAAACACTTTGCATCAATTAACTCATCTAATTTTCATAATAATGCTGTGAGATAGCTTTATTACCATTTTATAGATGGAGAAACTGAGGCATGACATAGTGAAGTAGTTTGTCCAAGGTCACACAAAGCCAGTATACATGCAACTTGGATTTAAACCCAGGTAACATGACTCCAAAGCTTAATGCTCTTCACACACACACCTTGGAGCTATTAAAGGGTATGCATTGTTTATCTATTAGGTCCACAGTGGATGCTTAAGAAATGGTTAATAGGTATGACTGAGGAAATAATATGATGTCAGTGACATCGTAACATCATTATGACATCAGCCCAACCTTCTATCATAACAAAGTCATGGTCTCTTATTGCTCTTAAAAGCTTCATATCTTAATTTAAAAATATGGCCTTCTGGCTGGGTGTGGTGGCTCATGCCTGTAATCCCAGCACTTTGGGAGGCCGAGGCGGGCAGATCACTTGAGGTCAGGAGATCAAGATTAGCCTGGCCAACATGGTGAAACCCTGTCTCTACTAAAAATACAAAAAATTAGCTGGGTGTGGTGGCACATGCCTGTAATCCCAGTTACTCAGGAGGCTGAGGTAGGAGAATTGCTTGAACCCGAGAGGTGGAGGTTGCAGTGAGCTGAGATTGCACCATTTCACTCCAGCTTGGGCAACAAGAGTGAAACTCCATCTCAAAAAAAAAAAAAAAAAAAAAAAGATGGCCTTCTTTTTCCTAATTCTGTTATTGTGAAGGCACTTTAATTCCAGAAATGTAAAGCATTATTATGTGTATGCTCATGCTTTTTAAATGACAAAGCACAGGTCTTTGGATGAATCCTGTCATAACAAAGTGACATGGTGGCATAAAACTATGTGTAGTGGAAACAAAAAAAATCTGGGCATTATAGGACTACTTCATCTTTGTGGTACCAGTTCCTTGGGAGAGCTGAAGAAGGACAGAGAATGAGAGAAAAGAAAGCTACTGTCATTATCCCATAAGTATATATGTGGTAGCCAGACTATCCATAATTACAGCAGTTTGATACCACGTCATGCTTCCTTAGTTATATTTACTTTGGAGTCAGAGTGGTGTCCTGCTGCCAGGCTGGAAAGCAGTGGTGTGATGATGCCTCACTGTGACCTTAAACTCCTGTACTCAAGCAATCCCTCCCCACTCAGCCTCCTGAATAGCTAGGACTGCAGGCATATGCCTACACCTGGGTAATTAAAAAATATATATTTTTAGAGATCGAGTCTTGCTATGTTGCCCAGGCTGGTCTTGAACTCCTGGCTTCAAACAATCCTCCTGCCCCAGCCTCCCAAATTTCTGGGATTACAGATATGTTCCATTGCACCTGGCCCTTCCTTACTTATAAGTCTAAGATCCCTCAATGTTTCATAGAATTTCAATATAAATTTCAGGATTAAAATTAAATCAAATGAAAGATAAAATCCCTGCAGAATAGTAAAAATTTACCACCCCATTCCAAACCTACTGTCTCTATTCCAAAGTGCTATTGGAATATGCCTCTATGCTTTTAGCTTTCAGTTAAGGTAGTACATGTATCAGAGGAGATATGTTTTGTTGAAAGTCAGAAACCTTATCACTCATTCCACACCAGAATTATTGTATGTATAACATAATGTTCCTTTTAAAAATAACATATCTTATGATTCTCACCTGCCATAGTGAACAAAATCTGAAGCATAATCCATATCACAGCCCTTCACTTACATCAGTGTCCATACACTCCAAATCAAATTGATCTGCATTACCTTTCTAATCACAAGATAGGATTCTAATCACAGGGCCAGTGAGACCGTTCCATTTCCTTTTTTTTTCTTTTTTTTTTTTTGAGACGGAGTCTCACTCTGTCGCCCAGGCTGGAGCGCGGTGGTGCGATCTCGGCTCACTGCAAGCTCCACCTCCAGTGTTCATGCCATTCTCCTGCCTTAGCCTCCTGAGTAGCTGGGATTACAGGCATGTGCCACCATCCTCAGCTAATTTTGTATTTTTAGTAGAGGCGGGGTTTCTCCATGTTGGCCAGGCTGGTCTCGAACTCCTGACCTCAGGTGATCCACCCGCCTGGGCCTCCCAAAGTGCTGGGATTACAGGCATGAGCCACCACGCCTGGCCCCATTTCTTATCTAGAACTTAGAATATTTGAAGCCATCCTCCCTACTTACAAACCATAACTATCTGTCAAGTTTCAGTGCAGAGAACAAAAACTCTCTTAACTATTTCAAGACATATATTGCAGTAAATCAGTGATTTCAAAATTGGTAGGTGGGCTGTAAAAGTAATGGGAACACTTCTGGACTAGTGATTTCAAGGTAAACTCCTATAACTATGACCCAGAGATGGAGAAATGACAGTTGCTGAAACCAATGATGCTGCCAGCGGCACTACCTCAAAGCCACAGAATCTGAAACTAGACATGGGAACATGGAATCCAGCTGCAGCAAGTATGACAGAACTTGACTATCCACTTTACCTAGAATAACACCCTGTGCACCACATACACACACACACAGGCACACACAGGGATGCACATGGCTACATGAGTAGTACTCATTACATAATTAGTGTTCATCATTTAAGATTCATTTCAAAAATCACATCCAGCTAAGCCTGCTCTGATCTCTTGTAGTATGTTGTTTCTTAGTTATTTTCTCATAGCACTTGTAAAGGATTATTTCAAATTTATTTGCTATCCATTTCTCTTGTCAGATAATGTCTCTGTGAGAAAAAGACCACATTTGTTAATTATTACAATGGTTATCAAAATGTGCTTTCTGGACAAAACAGTGTTACTGTCACCTAAGAATGTGTGAAAAATGCAAATTCAAATCAACTCATACAGAACCTAGAACTGAGGCTAGCTTGAGGCTAAAGCAATCTGTGCTTTAACAAGCCCCCTAGTGATTCTGACACACCACTAAAGCTCAGAACTACTGGATTCCTGTATCCCATTGCTGTGTAATACACACGAGTGATGCTCAGTAAATTTTCTTGAAATGTAGTAAGCCCACTGGAAATGGACTCCGAATAATCCTCACCAAAATACCGCTATTCTTAGTAAAAAGAGCAGGTGTTTTTCTTTAGGTTTGCTTGTCTCCCACTAAAGGCTATACTGAGGCTAATCTTAGTGAAATTTTTTTGCCAGAAATAGTCACAGAGAAAGAGTACGTGAGATACAAAATGATTTTATTAGATACCAAAACCTTTATTCACACCATTTTATTTCTTTTGCAGCTTTAATTTTTAACATTATAACATTTACTGGCTCCTCTGGGTGACTAAATATCTTCACATGCCCACTAGCTAAAAAGAATTTCTAAGTAGAACTCAACTGAAACTGCAAGCTACTGCTCTAAGAAATGCATAATGACATTTATTTGCTCTCCTGTAGAACCCTGTTTACAAATAGCATCACTGCAAAGATTTACACGTAATTCCTAAAACTTTCAGGTTGTTCTTCCATTAATCTTCTGATGTGTAGCAAGATAAACACTCTTAGTGAACACTTGGCTACATCTCTTAAATGAGAGTTCTCTCCAGTTTGAGTTCTTTGTAAAATAAGGGATGCACTTGGAACTGAAGTCTTCCCTCAATTTCTAAATTTTCTACATTCATACAGCTTCTCTCCTGTAGGAGTTTGTAAAAGATTCCTATTGTCTATAGTCTTTCCCACATTTGCTATATGTACAGGGTTTTATCCTAGTGTGAGTATACTTATGTCAATTAAGGGGTTAATACTGACAAAGGCTTTCCCACATTTATGGTCTTCATATGATTTCTCTACAGTATAAACTCTGAAAAATAAAAACATCTGAATCATTGCTGAAAGTCTTCCCATATTCACTACATTCATAAAACTTTTCCCCAGTATAATTTTTTCTGATGTTAAATGAGGATCTATGAATGAACTTTACCATGATAAACACTGCTTCATATACATTCTCTTCTGTAAGATTTCTCACATGTATAGTGATTCATATAGTCTAAAGGCTTTTCCACACTTACCACACTATTGGGTTTCTCTCCATTATGTACTCTTTGATGGGCAGTAAGATTTGAGCCTTTGCTAAAAGCTTTCCCACACTCACTACATTTATATGGCTTTTCTCCAGTATGAATTCTCTGATGTACGGTAAGGTTTGAACTACAGCTGAAGGTCTTCCCACATTTAATACATTCGTAAGGTTTCTCTCCAGTATGAATTCTGTGATGTTGAAGCAGGGATGACCTATGACTAAAGGCTTTCCCACATATATGGCATTCATTAGATAGAAATCACATTTCAATCTAATGTGATTTCTCAAATGCATATTCAGTGATTCAAGCTGGTTGAAGGATTTCCTGCATTTCTGACATTCAAAGGGTTTTTCTTCAGTATGAATACTCTGATGCTGAACAAGAAATGAGAGGCTACTAAAGACTTTCAGACATTTGTTGCATTCATATTGTTTCTCCATAGTGTGAATTCTTTGATGTGGAGTAAGGTGTGAGCTACAGCAGAAAGCTTTCTCACATTCTCTACATTCATAAGGCTTCTCTCCAGTATGGATTTTCTGATGGTGAATGAGAGACGACGTATGAATGAAGGCCTTTCCACATATACGACACTCATAGAGTTTTTCTTGCGTATGAATTCTTAGATGTTCAATAAGATGGGACACACGCCTAAAAGACTTTCCACAGTTCATACATTCATATGGTTTCTCTCCAGTGTGAGTGCTCTGATGGTTAGTAAGTGATGAGCCATGGCTAAAGGCCTTCCCACATTCAATACATTTGTAAGGTTTCTCTCCACTATGGCTTATCTGATGTCGTGTAAGGGATGAGCCGTGGCTAAAAGTCTTCCCACATTCACGACATTCACAGGGCTTCTCTCCTGTATGAATTCTCCAGTGGCGATTGAGGATTGACTGTTTGCCAAAGGCTTTCCCACATTCCCTAGATGTATAGACTTTCTCTATTATAAGTGTGGTGAGGAGAGGTGCTCTGGTTAACGGCTGCTCCACTTTTATTAGAATTCAAGAGTTTCTTTCCACCATTGAGTCTCTCATTTTTTACAACTGACTTTTTTGGTAAATTCTTCTTTAATATATTGTATTTGTGTGAATTCCCTTTAGCAGAATTTTTTTATGGTTCAGAAAGAGTAGACTTTGAATGAAAGGTGATTCTAAATGTGTCATATTTGTAACTGTCCCCAGTGGGGCTTTCTCTAGAGGTGAGAGTTGCTGGTCTGAAATGTTCTACATGAATTCCAGGCTTCCCTTCCAACTTTTCTATGTGTTCCAAATTCTTGGTAGAATTTGAAAATTCATAACTTTGTTTTAAAACTTTTTCTATTGTTACTGTTTGGAGTGAATCTTCCTTATAAATATCCTTCTTTGTTGATAATTCCTTGTTTTCCCATCTTGATTCCCAACCTGAAATATATAAAGAAAGCAAAGTACTGTTTTTTTCTTTTTTTTTACTCCTTGAAAAGAAACTTCTATGGTGGAATTAGGAGAAATGGATAAGAATTGAAGCCCCCAGAAAACACAGAGTTCTGACAATTCAAATATTTCAGTGATTTCTGAACAATGCTCAAATGGAGCAGAGAATACAGAGTTCACAGAAGAAGCAGGAGTGATAACAGAAATGGGTAAAATATACATAATAGATAAAACAGTATATGAATAAAAGGAAACTATCAGAAATAAAATGTGGAAGGCATTCTGGATTCCAAGCCATCTCTTTGTGCCTATATTCATGTATGAAAGATTGCATTTTGTCTCATAGCCTTTTTCTCCAACCTTCCATTAATCTCAATTTGCTGCCAGATTAACATGCTTAAAATACAGAATTGATACTACTGCATTAAACAGTTGCAGGAAAAACAAAATAATCTAAGTGCTGTTTAGAGCTGACAAAGATTTAGGCCTTCTGAGGTTATGAAGAAACTGTGAATCATATCAGTTATTGGACATTAGAAAATATTATTCCTAGGAACATATTTTATATGTTCCTTACTTCCTCTAATATGTTCATATTTCATCTACAAAGCTCAGCTTTAGAAAAGTGATTTTCCATCTAATTGTCAGCTTTTCTTAGCCTAAAAGTATCAGTTTGTTTTTTCTTATGTAGATTTAAGAAAGAATAATTTGCCTTACTTTGTCATGAATAGAGTAACAATTTGAATTATTATAATGACAAAAACCTCTAACCTTGATTAGATGACATGAGTGATACAGATAATAATGTGGGATAGAGGAACAATTATTTTGAAAATCTAAGCTAAATATCCCTCAATTTTTCATTAATATTTGAGATATTTGAAGATAGTGTTCCTAAAATGCCTCCACACTCACTATAAACATCTTTAACCAAATCTTCCTTTGTCTCATTCACCATGACTCACCTGGAATCATACCTTTTGACAGTTTTTTCTCCACCATCCAGGGCTCTTTCCCATGCTCCAACAATGTGATCACATATGGCTTAGTTATGGAAAGACCTGCTTACAGGAAGAATATAGAATTGTTTAAGCTGTGGTCTTCTATTATGAGAGGCCATCAAAAGAGGGACCACAGGAATGGATGAAGGGTGTTCATTGAAATGGAAAGATAAGCTTTAGGCAGGGCACAACAGAGCTGCACATTTCCTCGGGAGCATGGTACAGAATTCAGCCGTTTACTTAGGAGAATCTCCAGCAATTCAGGGTGGCAAAAGAAAGGTGTCCCCTGTTGGAGTGGAAGGGGTGATATCCTTACCTACAGAGACAAGGTTCTCATAATTCTGGACCATCACATCCTTGTATAAGTCCCTCTGAGCAGAATCTAGGCATGCCCACTCTTCATGAGAGAAGTCTATAGCCACATCACTAAATGTCACCTGAAATAGCAAATATATTTAGGCTCAGCCATAGCCCAGGCCTCTTCTGTCACTGAAGAAGAGGTAAAATTAGCCTGGTTGTGGAAGAAATGGAACAAGATTCAGGAGTCGTGACAAAGATTGGGAATGTGATCTCAGTTAAGTAATAATAGGACAGTTACGTAGATGGAATTATTACATAATAAAGGGGAGAGTTATGTGTTTAGAATTATTATACAATAAGGATGAGAGACAAATATGAGAGCTTTGCTTCAGTAGAGTTAACTTTTTGTTAAAAGTTATAGAATTGTATGAATTTTTAAAAATCAGCATTTAACATTTGACAGCACAGAGTCAAGTATTTGGTTATATATTTTATACCTTAAGTACTAGGTAAGTAATTAAAAAATGAGGCTAAAGCGATTCTCTCTTGAATGGGATACCAGGATGATCCACTAACCCTCATAAAAAATGGGTTTGGAAAAAAGACATCTTTATATTAAAGACTGATAGACATACACTGTTATGGTTTGATTGTGTCTCCCATAAAGCATGTATTGAACTTAATAACCGTTCTAACAGTATTGAGAGGTGAGATCTTTAGGAGACGATTAGGCCTTGAGGGCTCTGCCGTCATGAATGGATTAATGTCATCATCGTGGGAGTGTGTTCCTTATTTAAAAAATGAGTCTGAGGCCCCTTTTTCCTCTCTCCTCTTTTTGCCCATCCACCCATCCACCATAAAAGCACACAGCAACACGGCCCTTGTCAGACCCCTCCCCCTTGATCTTGGACTTCTCAGGCTCCAAAACCATGAGAAGTCAATTTCTTTTTTTTCTTTCTTTTTTCTTTTTTTTTTTGAGATGGAGTCTCACTCTGTTGCCCAGGCTAGAGTGCAATGGCACGATCTCGGCTCACTGCAACCTCTGTCTCCTGGGTTCAAGTGATTCTCCTGTCTCAGCCTCCCAAGCAGCTGGGATTACAGGTGCCCGCCACCATGCCTGGCTAATTTTTGTATTTTTAGTAGAGACGGGGTTTCACCATGTTGGCCATGCTGGTCTTGATCTCCTGATCTCAAGTGATCCACCCACCTCAGCCTCCCAAAGTGCTGGGATTACAGGTGTGAGCCACCGTGCCTGGCCAAGAAGTCGATTTCTATTGTTTGTAAATTACTCAGTCTGTGGTATTCTGTTACAGCAGCACAAATGGACTAAAACATACACATAACTGATTCATAAAAAAGAAAAATATATTTATGGCATATACTTAAACTTTGTACTGATAGACATTTAATAACTAAAATATGAGACCCCTGGGCGAAAAGACTGAAGGCTGGTTTCATGTCATAGATCAGGGGTCCCTAACCCCCAGACCATGGACTGGTACTGGTCTGTGGCCTGTTAGGAACTGGGCCACACAGCAGGAGGTGTGTAGTCGGCAAGTGAGCATTACCACCTGAGCTCCACCTCCTGTCAGATCAGCCGTGGCACTGCATTCTCATAGGAGCGCAATCCCTACTGTGAACTGTGCATGCAAGGGATCGAGGCTGCACACCCCTTATGAGAATCTAACTAATGTCTGATGATCTGAGGTGGAACAGTTTCATCCCCAAACAAACACCTCCCACTTCTGGGGAAAAATTGTCTTCCATGAAACTGATCCCTGGTGCCAAAAATGTTGGGCACCCCTGCCACAGACAGTCCTTAACTAGGACCTGAAACTAAGCGGGGAACAAAAGGGTACATTTCAAAGAAAATATTCTAAGGAAATGCTCACAGATGTGCTTGGAAATTCCTCTCAATAGTACTCATTTCAAAGTATTATTTAAGATAGTAAAACTTTAGAAGCTTAAATATTCAATAATAGCTTATTGACTAGTCAAATTATATGTGCAAAAATACATCCATTTAATATAGCATTATTACTGTCTTTGATTTGTGAAAGACTGCTCTACTGTGGTAATTTTTTAGCTCTGAGAGTTAATTCAGCACTGTATTACATTATTTGGATATTTTGCGTGCATGTTCACCAGTGACACTGGTCTCTGGTTTTAAAGGCAGAATTTACTTTTGTCAGGTGTTGGGAAAATAATTAAAATTCAAATCTCCTGCCAATGGTAGAAAATCCTTTCCACAGATGTAGAAAAGAAAGAAAAGAGTTTTATTACTGAATAAGCATTAAATAAGACCTTGATGCATGTCACAGGCAATCCACTAATGAGATTAAAAGGACAGGAAGAAATCTCACTCATCCTTTTATATCACCAAGCAGATACAATCCAATACATACATTTTCCAAATAAACAATAACTTATCCAAGTAAGACCTGACAGTTCAATTTGCTACGCATAATTTGTCCTAAATTCACCCATTAATTGGAGTTGACACTGTTAGTTAATTGCCTTTATCCTAAATAAAAATAACGTTTCTCATATCTTTATGACAGACAAGTCATTACAACTTAGAGCCAGGAATGCTTCTTTCTTCCCCTGCAGTTGCCCGGGCAGCTTGAAATGTTCACTCATCTCTGTCCCCAAAAGAACATAGGATATTTGTCCTAGCACTTATTTAAATTTCCCATGCTTTCTTACTTTTCTACAGTGCTGCAGTCCTCAATACAGTAGCCACTAGCCAATTTGGCTACCTACATTTAAATTAATTAAAATGTAAAAATAAAATAAAATTTAAAATTCAGTTCCTCAGTTGCTTAAGCCACAGTTCAAGTACTCAATAGTCATATGGGGCTGGTGGCTACCGTACTGACCAGTACACATGCACAGCACTTCCACCACTGCAGAAAGTTCTCTTAGACAATACTGCACTAGATCATGAAGTCCTGTGTGTCAGTGTACACCACAATCCATGTACAACTTTTCCTACCAGGTACTTCATAAGTGTTTAGAAGATGAACCAATGAATGTTTTTGGCATTAGTTCACTTTAGCCTTTACTTTGTTTTTTTTTTTTAAGAGATAGTATCTTGCTCTGTTGCTAAGCTGGAGTGCAGTGACATAATCATAGCCCACTGCAGCCTCACACCCCTGGGCTCAAGCAATCTTCCCACCTCATCAGCCTCCCGAGTAGCTGGGACAACAGACATGTACCACCATGCCAGTTTTTCAATTCTAATTATCTATTTTTTCCAAGAAAACAGACTTCACCCAACATGTACATCTGCTACTCATATCCCCTCCTATGCAAGCTTCACCTTCCATGCCATGATTCTGCCCCACCAGTTCTTCATTACTCATCTTATTCACTCCACAGTTACTTACTAAGCATCTATTTGGTGCCAGGTACCACTCTGGGTACTGAAGCTATAATAGACAACAAAGAAGAAAAAAGATTCCTCCCACCAGGAAAAGACAATGAGCACGTGCATATAGTGAACATACAGTACATCAGCTAGTGAGTGACACACGCCGTGGAAAACAAGAAAGCAGTGACGGAGGAGTGGAAGTGCTAGGTGTTCAGGGAAGCTTTTCTGAGAAAGTAACCACCAGAACCCAAAATGTACTAAAAGATTGGACTTATGTGTCCTTAATGAATGTGTCAAATGAGTCTCCTGGAAGGAGCATGTTATTAATATCATGTCATACCTGTGCTCTTAGAGAAAGAAAGATGGATGCAGTTCAGATTTTGTCTGCAGATATTGTACATGATGCCAAAGCTAACAAGGTACCCTCTGGGTGGCCTGGGAAAGGTATGTTGCATGCCTTCAGAGGTGGAGATAAATTGCAGTAGAGAGGCTGTTGAAATTGGCACCAAACAGATCATGTTAGCCAAATCTACAAGAGCAAAATATATACCAGTTTTTGACTGAATAGAATCAGCAATGTTAATAATATTGGATATTGGCTATGGAGGCCTCAATGGATGGGACCACAGCATTAAGGTGTAGTAATCCATCAGGAATTTTATGCTGTTTAGAGAAGAATAAAAACTTAAAAGATAGGAAATAAACTAAATGAAAAAATAAACTAAAATATATAGCTGGGCAAAATGTATTATATTAATTAATGCCCAAAGTTTGAGTGTTGGAAGAGGGAGAGTTGAATTAATGCAGAGACCATGAACAAGGAAAAGTGAACATGTACTTTTATTGTTAAATTGTGTGATGAATAATGCAATTGACCATTATAAATAGAAATTCAACTACATGAAGCATCAATATCTTATAGCCCATCCTGAGGCTATCGAGATGCTCTACCTTAAGGACCTCATTAGCATAAACTCAGGGGTCATCAGTGGGGCTCACTATTAATAACAAAAGACACTCCTATCACTCAGGACATTCCAGGGGTTTCAGCACTCTGAGAGGAACTGATGACAAAGACCAAATATATGTCCTACCAGAATCTTGCTTGATCTTCTCTCAACTTCCTTGATCTGTGCTTTTTGATGTCTGTCAGTAAGTTTGGAAAACTTTCAGTCATTATCACTTCAAATCGGTTTTCTGCTCCTTTCTCTCCTCCTCTAGGATTCATTCTCATTATGCCCATGTTACATCTTTTATAACTGTCCATAGTTCTTGGATATTCTGTTTCAGTTCCCTCCCTCTCTCTCTCCTTCTCTCTCTTTTTGCTTTCCAGTTTGAGAAGTTTCCATCAACATGTTTCACACTCACAGATTCTTTCCTTGATCTTCTGTATTCTGTTGATAAGCCCATCGAAGACATTCTTCATTTCTGTTACAGTGTTTTTTATTTCTAGCATTTCCTTTTAATTTTTTTTTTTGTGTTTGCCTCTCTCTGCTTATATTACACATGTGTTCGTCCATGTTGGCCACTTTCTCCATTAGAATCCTTAGCATATTAATCATAGTTTAAAATCCTGGTGTGATAATTCCAACCTCTCTGCCCCAGTGTCTAGTTGTGATAGCTGCTTTGTCTCTTCATAATGTGTTTCTTCCTGCTGCATTAGTCTTCTTGGGTTATTCTTCTTAACAGAATGCCACAGACTGAATGACATAAACAAGAGACATTTATTCGCTCACAATCCTGGAGGATGGAATGCCTAGATCAAGGTGTCAGCAGAGTTGGGTTTTGGTGAGGACTCTCTTGCAGGCGTGCAGACAGCTGCCTTCTTGCTGTGTCCTGACATGGTCTTCAGTCTGTGAGCACACACCCTGGGTGTCTCTTCCTTTTCCTATAAGGACTGTAGTCTTATTTGTTTAGGGATCCATCCTTACACCTCATTTAACCTTAATGACCTCTTTAAGGTCTCTGTCTCCAATACAATCACACTGGGGGTTAGGGCTTTAACATGAATTTGCTGGGGAGGGATGGGCACAACTCAGTCTAGAGCATTTACCTTTTATCATGTTGTGCTATTTTTGTTGATAGCCAGACATGATGTATCGGGTAAGATGAACTAAGGTTAATAGGACTTTACTGCGAGGTTTTATGTTTATCTGGCTAGAATTTTGGCTGTTTATTATTTGCTGTAGCAGTAGATTTCAGGGGATTAAATTTCCTCTAATATCCTTGTTGGTGTCTCTGCTGTTGTCTGTGGGTTTCCCTAGAAATTCCTGTCTGTCTCTTGCAGCTCTATCAGTTACCATCTACTGTTTTTTGTTTATTATGATTTTTATTTATTTTATTATTTTTTGAAACAAAGTATCCCTCCGTCACCCAGGCTGGAGTACAGTGGTGCAATCTCGGCTCATTGCAACCTCTGCCTCCCAGGATCAAGTGATTCTTTTGCCTCAGTTTTCCAAGTAGCTGGAATTACAGATGCATGCCACCACGCCCAGCTAATTTTTGTATTTTTAGTAGAGACCTGGTTTCGGCATGTTGGCCAGGCTGGTCTCGAACTCCTGACCTCAAGTGATCCACCCACCTCAGCCTCCCAAAGTGCTGGGATTACAGGTATGGGCCATTGCACCTGGCCCATCTGCTGTTATTATACCGCAGACCTGTTGATGTGGTGATAAGGTATTGTGGAGAGGCAGCATTTTTGAATCTCATGATTACATCTCATGATTACATCTCAGTTTTATTAGTGAGACTGAGTCCCTGGGCTGACCTTCAGAAAAATTTCTTAGCTTTCTTTTCTTCCTTTATTTGAGATAGGAAGACTAGATGGAACAGACTGACTAGTTCTTCTCACAGGTCACACACGATTTGGTAAAGTAGTTTCCTGGGGGCAGGCTTTTGTTATGTAGCACAGAATACTCTGGGCTTATTTCAAAATGCTTATGTTTCCTTGGGTGTGTCTTAGAATGATTATTTCCCCTTCCTCCTGCTTGAAGCATGAGATAATTGTTCTCCAGTCTTCATCAGGAGAATCTGGTGGGTCTCCTGGAGGCAAATCTCATGAAAATACAGGTGCTGCTCCCATGATAAGACTGGGCTCCCAGGATTTTTTAAGACTAAGGCTTGTCCACCATTAGCCTCCAGCAATTTGTTAATCACTGTTCACCTGTCAGTTGCTGGCTCCAGAGGCTTCTGTCCTCAAAATCTGATCCCCTATATTTGCTGTGTCTCCAGTTTGGGGGGGCATTGCTTTGCCCTATGGCCTCGATACTCTGATGGATCTAAGAAGAGTTACTGATTTTCAGTTTGTTCAACTTTTTGTTGTTTTGAGGACGGGAGTAACAAGCTCTTTAGATGTTGGAGTGGAAACCACAAATATATATATATGTACTATTTCTCATTATCAAGTTTTATTTCCCCCATTCTTTTGTCAAAACAAATGTTGGATAGTTATAAAAGCTTTACAGCATATTTGTCCACTAATTTCATCATTTTCATCATTTTTGTGCTTCTCAATTCACTCTTCTGGTTAATGATTTTTATGTCACTACTTCTTTGTGTGCATGGTTATTCTTTATTGGATGCCAGATACTGAATTTTACATTATTGAATGTTGTATTTGTTTGTATTGCTTTAAACAATGTTGGACCTTGGTATGCCATTCAATAAAATTACTTAGCAGCATGATTTCCTCTTGCCTGCTTGGCACTAGGTCTTTCTGTTTTAAACTTTTTTAGTATAAGACCAGAGCAGCCTTGAGTCTGTCAGCCCCGTTCTTTAGGTGATACCTTTCTATCTGGTGTTTTCTGTACTAATAGGTGTTCCACACTGGCAGGTGAACATACAATTCCCAGCCCTGGATGAGCTCAAATAATTGTTTGGGATATTGCTTTGTAGGGGTTCCTTTCTAAACCTCAGGTAGTGTCTGGTCATGCTTGTGCAGATCGGGACTTAGCCAAAGATTTACATGGATACTTCTGCAAATCTTTGCCTCTCTCCTCTCTCCTATTATCCCACCTAAATTATACCCATGGTGGTCACCATATATACTTATTTTTCTTCTACACTGTAAGCAGGAATAATTGTAGGGCTCACGTGTTGTAACCTAGTGAGTTACAGAGAAACACCACACTCTGAGACGAATTCAGGTGTCCTTTATTAGCCAGCGACTGAGAGATGGCTAGTGCTCAAAATTCTCTAGGCCCCAAAGAAGGGGCTAGATTTTCTTTTTTACTTTGGTTTAGAAAGGAGAGGGGGGGAGTCTAGTTAAAACAATCTTACAGAAGTAAAGCAGGCAAAAAGTTATAAGGATAAATGGTTACAGGAAAGCAAACAGTTCCAGGTGCAGGGGCTTTAAATCTATCACAGGGTGACAGATGCGGGGCTTTGGGTGTTATCAACCAGATGAATTCCTAGGAACTGCGGATATAGCTTTCCACAGTATCTTATCAGTTAATTGCATCCTTGGATGTGTTGGGAATCTGCTTGCACAAGTCAAGTCAAGTCCTTGAGGAAGGGAGTGGGTAAGGGGCTGTAAGTGAAGGAGCCAAGATGGAGTCTGTCTGGCTCTCTCAGCTAAGGGAGAGTCAATTCAGGTTAAAACAAGGTTGGGTATCACATTCCCCACTTGTGTTTTTGGGGAATCAAACCATTGATTCCTCGGTTATAACCAGGGGGTTATATTGGGTTTTAAGGTACATAAGCTTGACAGAAGCTATATGTTGTTTTACAAAATTAAGAAACCAATTTAACATACAAGGCTCAAAGACTAAGCCTAACAATAGGGGAGAAAGGGTCCAGCTAACCCAGTGATTAGAGTAGTTAGCAATGGATTCCAGTTAAACATGCTTTGGTACCAGGGGGTGTTATTTTCTCGTTCTTGCTGGTGCCTGTCTAGGTTTTCTCAAACTTTTTGGAGAGTATCTTTTATGACTCCAGACTGATTGGCACAGAAGCAACAACTCTCTCCTAGAGTGGCACATAACCCTCCTTGGGAGAGAAATAGCAGATCTAAGCCTCGGCGGTTTTGAAGAACTACTTCAGCTAGAGATTTTACTTGGGTATGTAGTATATTTATGGCTGATTGGAGATTGCTTAAATCAGCATCTACTTGTTGAGACAGGGACATTAGTCCAGTTTCTCCCTGAACCAGGGCAGCCATGCTGATGGCTGCTGATCCAGCTATGCTAAGGCCAGCCAGGAGGGGTACAAGGAGTGGGGTGGCTCGGCAAAACCTGGGATGTAATTCAGGGGGAGCAATAAGAAGTTATCCTTCTGGCCCACTATACACGTAGACCTGGGGGAGTACATGAACCAACACACACAGGAGAGGTCCTGGTTTAGTTCCATTGATGTGGCAAGTGAGACCTGAAGTGCAGGCTAACCAGGTATTGTTAGGTGCCTGGTAGGAGACTGAGGTGCTTAAGGAGGTAAGCATAGACTGATTACAGGTAGCCTGAAAGGGAGAAGCAGATAAGTTATATCCGGTGCTAATTAGACAAGAAGTGTTTCCAGACGTATCTCCTAATGGGAGGGCATGGGGGCATGTACAACAAGAAAGAGAGCCAATTTTAAGTGCGGCTTCTACTCCTAATCCAATATAATATGGGGGTTTGTCCTTTAGGCACAACCAACAATCTTGGGCTAGTTTAGGCTGGGTGAGATTGAGGAGGTGATGTACCCCACCTAGAATGGACATCAGGCTGGGTTGGAGGTGCTGTCATTGCAGGTGAGGTTTGGGGACCAGGAATGGCAGTGGGACAGTTAAATCAACCTTGTCTGGATGTTTTGGGAACATAAGGTCATCTAAATCAGTTAAAGGCCTGATTGGCTTAGGAGGGCTCCATGAGACGAGGATTTTTTTTGGATGGTGAACATAGTTCCAACATCAAATCCCGGGATATAAAGCCTTAATCCCTATGACATGACATAATACCATTGAGCTAAATTAGGATTATGGATGTTTATAGTGAGAGGATTGCAATTTCTCCTAGTACACAGCTTAGGACGGGAAGCACGAGCTATGGAAAGGGTTGAAGATCGAGTTGATGCCCCAGAGTAGGTGGCCAAAGTTACACATGTCCAGTCAGGGCAGAAAAACTGGTAAGAATCTTGACAACTAGAGTTAGGGTGATTTCCAGGACAGAGGTAAAAGTCAACATTCTGAAGTCCTTTTTCTGCACCTTTGGAGTTTCCACATCCAGTCTGGCTTCTGGAGTGTCCAAATTCCACAGCAAAGTCGACGATACCTGCTCCTATGACTGGCAGATTGCATTGTTCTTCATGGGTATGGGCAGGCTCTGGGAACAAAGTACATAAATCAACTGTAAAAGAGACTTCCTTGAGATTCCTGCCTTCCAAGTAGTGTTTGCAAACACACATCCTGCTGTGAAAGAAGTGAGGAGGAAAGAGTAGGATGGGGCAGAAGGCATAATAGGTGGAAACAAACAATAGAGGTAAATAAAAAGAATTAATCTGATGGCTTCACTTGACTTAGGGGCAGTTTTAAGGGGCCTGGCCCAGGCTTGGGGACCCATGTTTCTTGTTGGGCTCTGTTGTCCTTTTTGATGTGAGATTGATGAATCCAAGCTGGAATGCCATCTACTTTCAGAGCCGTTGGTGTGGTGAGGATGACAGTATGAGGTCCTTTTCAGGCAGGAATGAGTCCTTTCTGGAACTTTTTAATGTACATGAGGTCACCCGGCTGGAAAGAGTGGTAGGGCCCCGTCTAGTCAGGAACTGGATTGGGGTGAGCTCCCCGGACAAGCGGCTGGATGATGTCTTGTACCTGTTGGAGAGACTTCCTGATTTTTACTGGCCTGAAGATCCGAAGCCTGTTTTTCCTCCTCTGGGGAATATTTTGGGTGATCTGGCAAGTCAGGTTGCAGAAAGGACACTGCAGGCAGCAGGGTCAGAGGTGCAACAGGGAGACGAGCTGCCTCCTAGGCTGTAGAGTCTGCTTTTTGGTTACCATGGGCAATGGCCATGTCTTCTTTTTGATGTCCTTTGCAGTGAATTACAGCCACCTGCTGGCAGTGCTTGGGCCTACAGTATATCCATCTCTGTAGTGATGGCAGCACCAGCCTTTTGAACTCCCTGCTCAAGGAAGCTGCTACCATCTCTAAACACGGTGGCTTCTGCCTCCTTTAAAGATACCTCTTGGAGATCAGGTCGGCCAGATTCCGTAGTCTCCAACGGTTCTTGGCAGTCATGGACAGGTATAGTAAGGTCTGTCTCTTGGTGGTGGGAGTGGGGATTCACAGGATGGCTTCACACTGGTGAGTGCCCTTTTTCCTTTCTTTATCTTGTACCTTAGGTAGGACACTCTAAGAAGACAAAGCTGGGCCTTTTTGGCCGAGATCCAATACCTGAGCACCTGAAGGAGGTAAAGTAGGTCCCTAGTATGTTGCAGGCAGCTGTCAGTAGTTTCAGTAGCCAATAAGTCATCTACATACTGAAGAATAGTACAATTGGGGTGACTGGCTCAGAATGGTATAAGATCCTGTTGGAGGGCTTCCCCAAAAAGGATGGGGGAATTTTTAAAGCCTTGAGGTAACTGAGTCCAAGTTAATTGGGTGGTATCTCCTGAGCCAGGATCTGTCCATTCAAAAGCAAAGATAGGTTGGCTTTTGGGGGCCAGAGGAATAGCAAAGAAGGCATCCTTTAAGTCAAGGACAGTGTATACTGTATGTTCTGGTGGGAGCAGGCTGAGTAAAGTATAAGCATTGTGGACAGTTGGATGGATGGTAACTGTCCACTTGTTAACCTCCCTCAAGTCCTGCACAGGCTGGTAATCATTTGTTCCAGGTTTCTGGACCGGCAAAAATGGAGTATTCCAGGTGGATTGACATGGTGTGAGTATGCCAGCTTGTAGCAGTCACTGAATATGGAGATTTATCCCCTCTCTAGCCTGCTGACTCATAGGATACTGTTTTATCTGGACTGGCAGGGCAGTGGCCAGAAGTTCTACAACTACTGGCAGATGATGCTTTGCTTATCCCAGGGGGTTTGACTCAGCCCAGACTCGAGGAAACAGTCTGTAGGTCTAATAGGAGGAGAGAATTTGTTTTATTCTCCAATGGTTGTGATGGTGAAACCAAAAGATATTCCTCTGACAGAGGGGTAGTTAGCAGGAGTTGGGCAGTAGGGGGCGTTGTGTCCCCTAACGTGAAGTGAGCCTGCTGGGCTGAGAGATAGAAGCCTGTAACTTATGGAGCAGGTCTCATCTGAGAAGGGGAAGGGGGCACTCTGGGACTACAAGAAATGAGTGAGTTACTCTTTTCTTTCCTAAACTCACTTATCATGAGTGGGTGACAGGATATTCCTGAATAGCTCCTGTTGCCCCTTGTACAGCTACTCTTTTATTAGAGACACTGCCTAAGGGTGTCTGCAGTACTGAGTGTTCCACCTCAGTATCTATTAGGAAGTATACATGCTGGCCCCCCACTGTAGCGGTCACCATGGGCTCCTGGGGGCCAAGTGAAAGGGAGCCCCAGTCCCATCAGTCATCAGACTCCTCCGCTGTGGGGAGGGTGAGGACCTTTTTCTTTTCTGGTTTTTGCTCTGGCTTTAATGGGCATTCCTTCTTCCAGTGTCCTATCTGCTTGCAATAAGCACATTGGTTTTTCTCCAGGGGAGCCCGCTCACCTTTCTTGCCCTTTTGGCTGGGACCCGGGGTTCCCTGGCTATTCCTCTGTGATGGGGGCCCTTACTTTTTGGCTTCCTGGATGGCCACCACTAAGATTTTTGCTTGTCTTTTGGATGCTTTATCAGCAGCTTTTTCAGCTGCCTCAGCTGCCTGTTTTCGTTTTTCAGACTCTCGATTGTCAAAAACTTTCTGGGCTACTTCTAAAAGCTGGCTATTGTTCATTCCAGCAAATCCCTCCGGCTTTTGTAATTTTCTTTTACTATCAGTAGCTGCCTGAGCCACAAACACCAAATTAATAGCACGGCTATTCTTGGGAGCTGCCGGGTCAAAAGGGGTGTAAGTTTGATAGGCCTCCTGGAGACTTTCTAAAAGTGTTCCAGGTTCATCAGGCCCCTGGACAACTTCAGTTGTCTCAGACAGATTTATGGGTTTTTGAGCGGCTCCCTTGAGGCCCACAAGGAGATACCGGTGAAAATCATCTAAAGCCCTCCTCCCACCCGAGGAGTTAGGATCCCAATTAGGCCGGGTAGAGGGAAAAACCTCCTTAACGAGGTTTTGGGCTTCCCCCTCTGGTCTATCAGCTGATGTAAGGAAATACTTTCTGGCTTCTCTTCGGATACAATTCCTCTCTTCAGAGATGAAGAGGGTTAAAAGGCGTTGCTGACAATCATCCCAGGTGGGCCGGTGAGTCTGGAGCATGGACTCCATCAGTGAGGTCAGAACCTGGGGTTTTTCAAAGAAGGGGGGATTATGAGCCTTCCAGTTGTACAGGTCAGAAGTAGAGAAAGGGACGTAAACTAAGAATGGAGCTGAGCGCTCATCACCCGGAGGGATTTGTGCCTCTCTCAGTGGGAGGAGGGGGGCTACCTCCTCCTGCCATGGCCACAATCAGGAGGCAATAGATGGGGACGCCACAGGAGATGTAGTTGAGGAGGCAAGGGGAGATTCTGGGGGAGCAGGAGGGTTATAAGGTGGCAGAACTGTGTGAGGAAAACTTTCCTCTTCTTCAGAGGGAGGCAATACAGGAGGAGCCAAGGGAGCTGAGGATCCGGACAAAAGTGTGTGGTCTCGCTTAAAATGACCTTGGAGGTAAGATTATGAATGGCACATGAGCGGAGCCAAGGGGGAGGGCTCCGGACCAATCTCAGCCATTGATCAATGTAGGGAAACGGATCGGGGTGACCGGGAGTTCCAGCAACGACCCGCCACACAGCCTGAAGAGCTGTGAGATTCAGTGACCCTTCTGGGGGCCACACGGTTCCAAACTGTGGTCATTCTACTTCACAGAGTATCTGGAGTTTGCCTTTTTTAAGGTGGACCCCATAATTCTCTGAGAAGCCTAGGGAGAAATTTTGTAACATACATTGGAGAGGGCTCCAATCTTTATGAGGCTGGGAAGAAGAGTTTCCCATTCTGGAGGCAATTTAAAAAGGTTTCAGCAGAAATATTAAACCCAGCACAGACAGAGAAATTCAAGACCTGGGGGGCTGCAGTATCAGAAGAACAGAAGTATTATAACCAGAAGAAGAAGGAAAACAACCATAGTCAACACTTCTTGCCACATAAGGACGGTCTGTTTAAGCTTTGAGATCTAGGGGGAGGACAAGAGGCAGGTCTGAGGCCAGTGGGACCTACGTGATCCCCTCCTTTTTGTCCTATAGCCTAAATATCTTTGGTGTCTCCATGACTTGAAGGCAAAAAGTTCAAACTTGGCCTTTTCTTTTAAGGGTTGAAAAAGGGAGGACAGAACCAAGTCTTGGAGACACTGGATTTGCTGCAACACAGGAAAATGAGATGTGCAGGGTAAAGGATGGGAATGAGGAGGAAAAGGGGCCACTTGGATTTTTCCAGGCTAGGAGGAGCCATGCCGGGCAGCTCTGGGTCACCAGGGCCACTCTGCGGTCCCCCGCCCTGCCTCCAGGCCCTGTCAGACGCTGCAAGCCCAGCTCAGAAGCCTGGCCTGGGACCAAGTTCACTGCAGCAGGCTGGGCCCTTGCATTCTGAGCTGGGTGCGGATGCGCTGGTGCTCTGGGAAGTCAGGGGCTTTGACAACTGAAGGCAAAGGAGCCGGGCACCTGAGGGGGTCCCGGGGGAGGGGGTGCCGGGGGAGGGGATCCGGCGTCGTCACCCTCCAGTCCTTGCCCACAGGTCAGGGAGCCCCTGCCATGGGGGAAGGAGGCTGTTTCTTTTGTAAACTGGTGGAGGCGTGCCTCGCCCCTGGGCCTGACAGCCCAAAGAGACACGCCTGAGACCTCTGGACAGAGTACAGCAGTATGGGCGTAGGTTTCTCTGCACAGTGCCTTATCCATGGGCACGGGAAAAGTTATGGGATGACAGAAAAGATGAGCAAGGAGGTCTGTGGGGTGGCTATTTTGAATCCACCACCGGTCTAATGTGGAGGTGGTCCAGTCAATTGGGCATGGGGTATGGCAATCTAAATGCCAGCAACCTTTAAGGTGCCAGAAATCCCACACTCTTTCCCATAACAACACCTGATTTGTTTCTGACAGAAAAGGCAGGACTGGGATGGCCAACCCAAATGATTGATGAGAAATTTGACCTCCTGTGATAGAAAATCAGTACTGAGGACCTTGAAGAAGTTCTTACCCAGTTGTCTAGGGCAGTATTGATGACCTGACATATGAAATTTTACCAAACAAGACAATAGACCCTGGGGCATACAAACAATTATGACAATTTTTTAATAGACAGACAAAGGAAGGGGGGCCCGTGATGGGATCAGTCAGATGCCCATCTGGCCACTCTCCCTGAGGGGACTTAGGCTCCTCTTAGCATTGGCAGGCTGGTATAAACCCCTGGCTTGGATCGAGCTATGCCTGATGCTGCCTTAAGCCTTAAGAGGTCACCACGGAACTGCAGGTGAGGGCCCATTCAAACTCCGTAGCTTTCACCGTGGAGCTACATACTGGAAATTCAAGTGCAAGCCCTTGAACTCCACATTCACGCACTCATTCACACAGAGTTTATAACAGTTTTCTTATTCCCTTTCCAAAACAGAGGTCTCCGGGAGACCTGAACGAGAGAAGGAGAAGAGATAGAGAAAGAGGGAGGGAGGGAGAGAGAGAGAGAGAAAGAGAGAGAGAGATAGAGACTAGTCTTAACAGAGAGGCCTAACAGAAAACCAGGACTCTGTCCTCCAGTGTCCTGGAACATGGGCAGAGTCAAGGGAGGGCCATCGTCAGGGCTGCTTCCCTCCCAGAGAGACACAGAGGTGCCTAACAGAAAACCAGGACTCTGTCCTCCAGCGTCCTGGAATGTGGGCAGAGTCAAAAAGGGAGGGCCTTGTCAGAGCCGTTTCCCTCCCAGAGAAACAGAGTCAGATCTGACTTACTTTCCCAGGACCAGAAACTGAGGACTCAGGAGTTGAATTTTTGTGGGCACACACCAGTGGTCGATCCATTCCCGTCTGGAAGATAGGGTCTTATGGGGCCCTGGAACGTCTTCTGGTGGTGCCTCCCCTATAAGTCTGCTGTCTGTCCAGGGGAGCCTGGAATGAGTCTGGCTCTCACCCGGTGACAAAAAAATCTTGCTGGGGCCTCCAAATGTTGTAACTGAGCTAGGTACAGAGAAATGCCACACTCTGAGACGAATTCAGGAGTCCTTTATTAGCTGGTGACCGAGAGACGGCTAGTGCTCAAAATTCTCTCAGCCCCGAAGAAGGGGCCAGATTTTCTTTTATACTTTGGTTTAGAAAGGGGAGGGAGGCAGTCTAGTGAAAACAACCTTACAGAAGTAAAGCAGGCAAAAAAGTTAAAAGAATAAATGGTTATAGGAAAGCAAACAGTTTCAGGTGCAGGGCTTTAAATCTTTCACAAGGTGATAGACGCGGGGCTTTGGGTGTTATCAACCAGATGAATTC